>NC_000014.9:76278379-76429894 GCF_000001405.40 Homo sapiens
GAAGAATGGAGGCAGAGTTAGAAGAATAGACCAGGATCCTCTCTGTTCATTTTAGAAAATTGTTGGCTGGGATTGTGGAAGAACTGGATGCAAACAGGAAGACAACAGAAGAGAAGCAATGTGCTGGTTAACAGACAGCCCAGGGCCAAGACCTGTGTTTGTGCTTGTATTTTATTGTTTTCTACAAATGATAGGAAAACATGAGCAGTGGTGGGACAGGTGCAGGTAGGGCAGGGATTTGGATGATGCTAATAATGATGGTGTGTGTTTATTGAGTGTTTACTTTCTGCCAGGCTTTTCCTAAGCACTTCTTTCATCCATCCGCTCAACAAGCATGGGACAGGAGGTTAGGTGATTCATACACATTTGCATCATTTGTTCTCACAACTATGGGGAAGACCATTTAGGCTTTTTTACAGATAAGGAACTTGGGGGGGCTCAGAGAGGTTTCATAACTTGCCCATGGTCACACAGCAAGTAAGAAGTGGTAGAGCTGAGTTTTGAACCAAGGTCTGCCTGACTCCAGCCTCACTACCCTTCACCACTACTCCACCGATAATGCACATTCGACCATATACACATTCTCTTCTTTCTTGTTCCTTTGCCTGTTTCCTAGTTCTACCCTGAAGTTCTCAAGGCATGTTCTTTACTAAGTCACATGCAGGAGTCTTAACTGTATGGCAAGAGGGGCACCATCATTTTCCCTGAGGTCTGAGGTTTTGAGATCTGGTAGTGACCTTGAGAGGACATCATCATCTAGTTCCCTGTCTTTAGCCAGAACTGAATTTGAACCATGTCAAACTGATGAGCATCCATCGTATTTGTAGACACCCCTCAAAGGAGAGTTGTACAGCCTATTCCACTGACATCCTGACCAAGGCATCTCCATCATGCCTAGGTGGAGTTGGCCTTTTTCCTTACATTCTGTCTTCACTGGAGACCAGGCAGGTGAAATCAGCTGGGTGTGAAGTGGCCTTCAGCCATGTCCTCTCCTGGGGAATCCATCCCCCTCCTTCCACTCTTTCCTTGTAATTGGAATTGGACCACCTGGTGCCCACGGCTCTCTGGGGTGAAGCTCCCTCTTGGTGTGTCCTGTTCTTCAGTGACATTTATTTTTGCTTTCCTCATGTCCCCTCTTGCAGTGCTCATCCTGTTGTTACAGTAGCTATTTGTAGCCTATGCACCAGCCTGTGTGTTCTTGGGGCCAAGGACTGTGTCCTATGCTCCTTCCTGTCCCCTGTATTGCATATTGTACCATGAACCTAGTAGTGAGTGTCCCATGCATGTTTGCTGAATGAGGGAGTGAATGTCTGACAGACGTTTCATGGCTTGCATCCAGCCTGCCCCTAAATGTTTCCCTAATTTCTAATGCTGACACTAGACACCCCACTGAAGGACTAGGGTGTCTAACTATTCCATGCTAAGTATGGGCAAAAGAGGACAGTTTGACCAAGATGCTCTTTTACCCTTGTGTATCCAAGTTCCCTCTGATCATTAAATGAGCAGAGACTTCACACAGAAGGTGTTGCTACTGCTGCAGATGGAGGTCAGAATTAAGGTACTGCTACTGTTGATCTCAGACCTTTGAAAGCCAGACCCAAGCTTGGGGTCTTGGGGATGGGGATGCTAGGGGATGGGATGGCCAGATACACCAGAGTGGCTGGGAATGAAAGAGTGTCCCGGAAAACCTGCTTCCTCGGAGCCGATCCTGTGTGAGCAGAAGAAATCTATCCACAGAGGGGTGAGATCGCAGAGCAAGTGGGTTACCTAAAAATAGCAGTGCTGGTTTCCCACAGTTAGAGATGGGTCCTCTGCCATTCATCTCAATTGCTTTGTGCAAGTTTGCTTATTTATTGAGAGCGAGAGAAAAGGATCAAACCATTCATCCAAAGATGGAAATCTGCAACCTCTTCTACAATGATCAGCCAGACAGATGAGCTGAGTGAGAAGTCCCTGAAATCTCAGAGGCCTAGGGCTGGCCAGGAGAGTGGGATGGGCATGCTTAGGAGAGTGGGGTGGGCATGGTTAGGAGCTGCCCCCAGCTTGCCCTGCCTTCGTAGCAGAGTTGATGGTGGGCTGAACCTTACCCCCAACATGGGGACTTTTGCAGGGGAGGCAGACCTGTGTGTACATGTGAGGGTACATAGACATACATGAACGTCTAGCTCTCTGAGGGAAGAGATGAGATGCATAAATCACCTAACCCAGCACAAAGTACACACAATAGGTGCTTAGTAAATGTTAATTAGGGAGTCAAGTAGGTAGAAGTTGAGGTCAGGGCAGGAGGAGGCAGGGATAGAGGAACATAATGTGAAGTAGCCAGAGTATTTTTGACAAAAAGGTGTGGATTTTGGAGTCAGGAAAGCCTAGGTTCAAATCCCAGTTCCACCACTTGTTAACATGGTAACCTCAGGCCAGTTACTTAACCTCTCAGAGTATCAGAGTCTTCACCTATACATTTTGAGAATGGCATGACATCTCATGGTGTTACTAGGATTATTAAGTAAAATAATATATTTAGAGTACCTGTACCAGCCCGGGGTTCGATAAATTACAGCTGTTTTTCTTTTTATTATCATTTATTGTGAATATCATGGACAATGAGGTTCCTCAGTTTATTAACAGTTAGAATCTTACTTTAAAAAAAGAACCCAAATTAGGCTGGGCATGGTGGCTCATGCCTGTAATCCCAGCAGTTTGGGAGGCCAAGGCGGGTGGATTGCTTGAGGCCAGGAGTTCGAGACCAGCCTGGGCAACATAGCAAGATCCCATCTCTAAAAAAAAAAAACAAAAGAACCCAAGTTGGAAATACTTGCAAGTCATGTATCTAATCTGATAAGGGGTTAATATCCAGAATATATAGAGAACTCATAAAACTCAACAATAACAAAACAAGCCATTCAATTAAAAAATGGGCAAAAGACTTGAATAGGCATTTCTCCAAAGGAGATATAAATGGCCAATAAACACATGAAAAGGTGTTCAACAACACTAATCATTAGGGAAATGCAAATCAAAACTACAATGAGATACCACCTCATACCTATCGGTATTAGGATGGCTACTATCACTGTCAATGGGGATGTAAATGATACAGTCACTCTGGAAAACAGTATGGCAATTCCTCAAAAAATTAAAAATATAATTACCATATGATCCACAATTCTACTTCTGGGTATGTACCCAAAATAATTGAAAGCAGGGTCTCAAAGAGATCTTTGTACACCCATGTTCATTCTTCACAATAGCCAAAATGGGGAAGCAACTCACCCATTGTCCATTGTACATTGATAGATGAATGGATATGCAAAATATAGTGTATACATATATATACATATACACACACACAATGGAATATTATTCAGCCTTTAAAAATGAAATTCTAACATACATTACAATATGGATAAACCTCAAGGATGTTATTTTTGGTGAAATAAGCAAGTCACAAAAAGACAAATATTGTATGATTCCATTTATATGAAGTACTTAGAGTAGTCAAACTCATTGAGCAGAAAAGAGAATGATGATCCAGGGAATGTGGGGAGAGGAAAATGGGGCGTTTTTGTTTAGTGAGTACAGAGTTTCAGTTTTGCAAAATGAAAAGCATTATGAAGATGGATGGTGGTGATGTTTGTACAATATTGTGAATGTACTTAATACCACTGATGTGTAATTTAAAAAGGATTAAGATGGTAAACTTTGCATGCATTTTATCACAACAAAAAAAATTGGAAAAGCACTAAAATCAAAGATACCAATTTTCCCCCAATCGATCCATAGATTTAATGCAATCCCAATGAAAACATCAGTAGGCTTTTAAAAAACTGAAATTGACAAATGTATTCTAAAATTTATATTGAAATGCAAAGACCTCATAATAGCCAAAACAATTTTGAAAAAATGCAAAGTTGGAAGATTTATACTACCAGACTTCAAGAGATACTATAAAGCTACAGCAATAAAGTATTGGCATAAGGATAGGCATATTAATGAATGGAACAGAATGGAGAGTTTAAATGTAGATCCATAGACATGTATGGTCAATTGATTTTCGACCAAGCTACTGAGGTTTTCCACGAGGAAAGGTTAGTCTTTTCAACAAATGATGCTGAAAAAGTTGGATATCCATTTGGAAGAAACCCCAAAAACCCAAAAAAACAAAAAGCCTTAATTCTTCTTACTTATCACAACACACAGAATTCAACTCAAAATGGATCATAGGCCTTGGGACAAGTAATATTATGTGTCAACTTGACTGGGTCACAGGTGCCCATACATTTGGTGAAACATCATTCTGGGTGTTTCTGTGAGGGTGTTTTTGGATGGAATTAACATTTAACTTGGTAGGCTGGATAAAGCTGAGTGCTCTCCCTAATGTGGGTGGGCCTCGTCTAATCAGTTGAAGGCCTGACTAGAACGAAAAGGCTGACATTCCTTTGAGTAAGAGAGGATTCCTCCTGCCTGATGGCATTTGAGCTGGGCTGTCAACTTTTTCCTGCCCTTGGACTTGAACTAAAACACTGGCTCTTCCTGAGTCTTGAGCCTGCCAGCTTTGCACTGGAACTATACCATCAGCTTTCCTGATTCTCAGGCCTTTAGAGTTGTCCAGAACTATACTGTCAGCTCTCCCGGCTCTCCAGCTTGCCGACTCACTCTGCAGATCTTGTGACTTGTCAGCCTCCATCATCATGTGAGCCAATTCATTATAATAAATATCTTTTCATATCTCTGTATATCTCCTGATGATTCTGTTTCTCTGGAGAAACCTGACTAATAAAAGAAAAAAAAAACCTTAAACTTTTGTTCATTGAAAGACAGTGTAGCAGGCTGAATAATGGCCTCCCAGAGATGTCCATGTCCTAATCCTGGGAACTGTGCATATATTACCTTACATGGTAACAGACTTTTCAGATGTGATCAAATTAAGGATCTTGAGATAGGGAGATTTTCCTGAATTACCCAAGTGGGCCCAGTGTAGTTACAAGGGTCCTTTTAAGGAGGGAGGGAGGAGGGTCAGAGTAGATGTGATGACAGAAGCAGAGGTTGGAGTGATGCGGAGCCACCAGTCAAAAAAATGCAGAAAGCCTCTAGAAGCTAGAAAAGGCAAGGAAATGAATTTTCCCCTTGAGCCTCCGAAGGAACACTGTCCTGCCAACACCTAATTTTAGCTCCATGAAATTGACTTCCGACCTCCAGAACTATAAAATAATAAATTCGTGTTGCTTTTAGTCAGTAAATTTGTGGCGATTTGTCACAGCATCAATAGGAAACAAATACAGATGCTATTAAGAAAATGAAAACTCAAGCCATGTCTTGCAAGAAATGTACTCTCTCTCCACACACAGACACGCACTCACACGCACACACACACTCACACACACACACGCACACACACACACACTCTCACACACACACACATCCTGACTTATACCAAGAATACATAAAGAAGTCTCACAGCTCAATAAGAAAAACAACCTGATTTTAAAATGGACAAAAGATTTGAACAGACAAAAAAGATATACAAATGGCTGATAGGCACACAATAAAGCATATCATTAATTAGGCAAATGCAGGTTAAAACCACAAGATCCTACCACATACCCATTAGAACAGCTAAAATTGAAAAGATTGCTAATACCAAGTACTGATGAGGATTTAGAACAATTAAAAGTTGCATACATCGCTGCTGGGAATGCAAAATGGTCAACCACTTTGGAAAATTGTTAGCTAGTTTCTTATAAAGTTAAACATACGTTTACTATACAACCCAGCAATTCCACTTTTATTTACTCAAGATAAATAAGCACATATGTCCATGCAAAGATTTGTACATAAGTGTTCATAACAACTTTACTTGTAATAGCTGAAAACTAGAAACAATCCCAAATGTCCACCAACCAGTGAATAGGTAATTGTTATTATGATATGACAATATCTTGGAATAACACTCAACAATAAAAAGGGCTGAACTACAGACACACGACAGCATGAATGAATCTCAAAAACATTACACCAAATGAATTAAGTTGGGCCAGAAAAGTATATACTCTATGATTACATTTCTATAAAATTCCAGGAAAGGCAAAACTAATCTAGAATATCACAAACAAAGTGGTTGCTGGGGCCAGGAGTAGATCTGGGCAAAGGGGCAGGAAGGAGTTTTTTGGGGGTGAAAGAAACATTCCATATCTTGATTGTGTAATAAGCTGGGTGTTAATATTTTAGAGGACCATATGATCTCTGTTGCAACTACTTAATTTTGTAAACAATATTTAAACAAATGGGTATAGCTGGATTTGTCTCAAGGGCCACAGTTTGCTGATCCCTGGTCTAGATCCATCAAGCTGTACTCTTAGAATGGATGCATTTTACTGTATGTAAATTATGCCTTAATACAGTTGACAAAAATAACAAAAAATCAAAATTAATATGTAGCTATTTTTGAAGTTAATTTTTTGGAAATCTGCATACAGAAAATGTACAAAGCACACGTACATAGCTTGATGAATTTTAATTTTAGCATTCTGGTAGATGTGGAATAGTATCTCATTGTGGTCAATTTGTATTTCCCTGATGACAACTCACATTGAGCATCTTTTTTATGTGCTTATTGGCCATCTGAATTTTTTTTTGTGAAATGCCTGTTTAAGTCTTTTTCTCATTTTAAAATTTGGTTGGTTATATTTTTTCCTTACAGATTTGTGTGAATTCTTCATCTACTCTGGATATAAGTCTCTTTGTCAGAGATGAGTTTTGCAAATATATTCTTCCAATCTGTGGTTGCTTTTTTACTCTCTTATGGGTGTCTTTTGATGAACAGAAGCTCTTATTTTTAATGCCAATTTATCAATATTTTTCTTTACGTGAGTGCTTCCTATGACCCATTTAAGACATCTTTGCTTACCCAAAGATAATTGAAATATTCCTCTATGTTTTCTTGAAAGAGCTTCACTTTTTACCTTCCACATTTAGTTTTTCAACCTGGAAATAATTTCTGTGAATGAATATCCAATTGACCCAGTTCCATATATTGAAAAGGCAACTGTTTCCCACTTCACTGCAGGGACACAATTATGATAAATCAAATAACCCTATGTGTGTGGGTCTGTTTCTCTATTCTGTTCCATTAATCTAGTTCTCTGTCTTTGCACCAACACCATACTGTTTGAATGAGAGCTTTATACATTCTTACCATTTGCTATAAGTCCTCAAGTTTTATTTTTCTACTTCAAGATTACCTGTTTTTTATTGAGTCTTTGCATTTCCATATAAATTTTAGAATCAACTTGTTAATTTCTCTAAAAAACTGCTGGGGATCTGAGTAGGATTACATTGAATATATAGATCAATTCATGTACAATTTATCTCTTTACAATATTGAGTCTTATAATTCATGAACATTGTATATCCCTTCACTTATTTGGGTTTTATTTTCTCTCAGTAACTTTTCATAATTTTTATGTAAGTGTTTTTGTGCATCTTTTATTATATATATATTTTTTCAGGTATGAGATTTCTAAAATGCTATTGTAAATTGTATATTTTTTTAAATTATATTTTCTAATTGGTTCTGGTATGTAAGGGTATAATTCATTTTTGTGTTTTAACTTATATCCAGGGCTTTTACTAAGTTCACTTATTAATTCTAATCATTTATTTATTTTTTACAAATTTTCCACATAGATAATTATGCTGCCTGCAAATAGTGACTATTTTATTTCCTCATTTCTAATTCTTAAACTTTTAATTTCTTTTCTTTGCCTAACTGCTCTGGCTAGCATCCCAGCACAATGTTCAACAGAAGTGATATCTGTGGACATTTTTGTCTCATTCTCAACTTCATGGGTAGGAGAAAAGAAGGCTTTTAATAATTTACAGTTATTGCGAAAGTGAGGTTTATTGTGGGTTTTTCATAAATAGCCTTTTTTAAAATAATGAAGTTCTAATTTATTCTTAGTTTGCTAAGAGTTGTTTTAAAATCATGGGTAATAAATTTTATCAAAAATTTTTTCTGCATCTGTTAAAATGACTGTATGTTTCTGTCTTTTCTGCAAATATAGTGAATTATATTGATTTTTGAATGATAAAAAAAACCTTGATTTCCTATAATAACTCTAAGTAGTTGTGATGTATTTTCCTTTTTATATAACTCTGGGTTTGATTGGCCTATATTTCATTTTTATACAACTCTAGGTTTGATTGGCTAGCATTTATATTTGTGAGGGATATGGACCTATATTTTTCCTTTTCTATAATTTCCTTATCATATTTTATATCTGATTATGCTGACCAGATTATATTCCCCACAAATAACAAGCTGGGAAGTGTTCTCTCTTTTTCCATTCTCTGGAAGTTTGGGTACAATAGGTGCCATTTTTTTCCCTAAATGTTTGGAAGCATTCGCCAATGAAGCCATCTGAGATGTAAATTACAGATTTAAATATTTTAATATATAAAGATAACTATTCATATTTTCTGTTTTTTCATATGTCCATTTTAAGATTTTTAAAGAAATTTGTTCATTTCATTAATATTTTTAACTATACCCACACAAAGTTATGATAGTCTCTTATCTTTTTTTTAAGTTTGTAGGCTCTGCAACCGTGTTTCTCTTTTCATTCCTGTTTATTAGTCTTTTCTGAGAACCGATTTTCAGCTTGTTGTTTTCCTCTTATATACATTTATTTTCTATTTAAATAATTTCTACTCTAATATCCATTATTTCCTTTTCTTCCCTTTCAATATATTGAATATATCAATATATATTCAATATAATTGAATATAATATTCAATATAATTGAATATAATATTCAATATAATTGAATATAATATTCAATATAATTGAATATTATATTCAATGTAATTGAATATTATATTCAATATTCTTTTAGACTTATCCATATATAGGCCCTTTTCATTTTTCATAATTATTTCCTGTATTTTTATGTTCACATATGGGATCATTTTTGTCTTGCCTGAGAAGAGCTATCTTTAGTGTTCCTTTTAATGTGGGTCCAGCCACAATGGAATATTTATTTTTGTTTCTCTGAAAATGTAATTACGTTACTTTTACTTTTGAAGTATATTTTCACTGAGTATTCCAGGTTGGCTTTCTTTTCTTTAAGCACTTTAAAGATGCCATTTCTTGCCTTCTGGTTTCCATCATTTATGTTCAGAAGTCAGCTGTCAGACTTCTTGTTGCTCCTTTTAGGGAGATGTATTTTTTTTATTTTTACTATGACTGCTTTTAAAATTCCTTTGTCTTTAATTTTCAGAAGTTTTACTAGGATGTGCTTGGATGTGATTTCTTCTGTATTTATCCTTCTTGGGGTTTGCAGTGCTTCTTGAATATTTGGTTTGATGTCATTTGTCAATTTTGAAAATTCCAGGTCTTTGTTTTTTTATTGCTTCCATGAATTATGGCTCTTCTCCACTTCTAGGACTCCAGAGACACATGTTTGAGAACATTTCACCATTTCTCGTGCACCTTTGCTCTCTTTTTATATTTTGCATGTTTTTTCTTTGTGTTTTAGTCTGATTTTTTTTCCAACTGATCTATCTACCCGTAAAATAATCCTTTCTTCATTTTTGTCTATTATGCTATTAAATCCAGGTATCGAATTCTTAATTCGTTATTGTATTATTCAATGGTAGAATTAATAAATTCCAATTCTGAGATGAACTTCTCCATCTTGTCAGTTATTTTCTGGAAGATTTTCATTATATTTATTTAAAAGTTCATGCCTAATAATGCAAATATCTCTGTCATCAGTAGCTCTGTTTCTATTGGCTTTGTCCTCTTTTGTATGCCAGGAGAATTTATTGAACACCAGATTTGCATAAGAACAGTCATAGAGGGAGTGATCAAATGTTATCTCCCTCGAGAAAGGGTTCACTCTTTCCTCTGGAAGGCAGGTAGAGCAGGGCAGACCACCTCAGTGCCATCAAGGATTAAGATGATTCAAAGTGGGTTTAGACTTATTAAGGCTTGGCCTACCCTTGATGTTCCTTCCTCTTAGGGTGTAGTCTTCTAAAGTTTCTAAGAGGGAGCTTGAGATATTTTCAAGCTCCGTCTTCAATGTTCAGCTGTTTTGAAAGCTCTTCGATACCTTCCAGCAGTTTTGGGTTTCATCCATCTTTTCTGTTTATTCTTGGTGGAAACATTGGTGGAATACAAGCTACTCTATTATAGTGAGAAGCAGACTATAACCAATATTCCTTTTTTTTTTTTTTTTTTGGAGACAGGGTCTCACTCTGTTGCCCAGGCTGGAATGCAGTGGTGTGATCATGGCTCACTGCAGCCTCAGCTTCTTGGGCTCAAGTGATTCGCCTGCCTCAGCCTCCCAGGTATCTGGGACTACAGGAACAGGTCACCTTACACCCAGCTAATTTTTGACTTTTTTTTTTGTAGAGACAGGGTCTTGCCTTGCTGCCCAGGCTGGTCTCAAACTCCTGGGCTCAAGCGATCCTCCTGCCTCAGCCTCCCAAAGTGCTGTGATTACAGGCGTGAGCCAGCACACCTGGCCCAATATTCTTTTTTAGAATCTCTAGAACTGTTGTTTAGGTTCTGAGCCAGGATTAGAATTCATACATTTTCTGAACAATATTTATTGAATTTCTACTATGCTTCAGACATTGTTTAGGGGCTGGGGATATAGTAATAAATAAAAAGCAAAAATGTGGTGTTTATATTTCAGTGGGAGAGATAGACAATTAGCAAAATAACTAAGTAAAATATATAGTGTGTGACAAAATGAAAAGTGTTAGGGAAAATAAGAAAGAGAAATAGAAATGTTTAGGGGAATGAGTTATAATTTTGCATAGGATATGCAGGAAAAGTCTCACTGGGAAGGTCTCGTATGCATGAAGGCCTGATGGATGTGAGTGAACAAGTTATGTGGGTATCTGGGGAAGAACATTCTAGGCACAGGGAACAGTAAATGCAAAAGCCACGAGGCAGGGGCACAGCCAGTGAGTTGAAGGAAGAACAAGGAGGCCAGTGTGGCTGCAGCAGGTAAATGATGAGAGCATGGTAGAAGATAGGTCAGAGAGGGCCAGGCACGATGGCTCACACCTGTAACCCCAGCAGTTTGGGAGGCTGAGGCTTGAGGTCAGGATAGCTTGAGGTCAGGAGTTTGAGAGCAGCCTGACAAACATGATGAAATCCCGTCTCTACTAAAATTACAAAAAAAAAAAGAAAAATTAGCCATATGTGGTGGTGCACACCTGTAATCACAGCTCCTTTGGAGGCTGAGGCACAGGAATCGCTTGGGCCCAGGAGGCAGAGGTTGCAGTGAGCAGTGATCGTGCCACTGCACTCCAGCCTGGGTGACAGAGTGAGACTCTATCTTACTGTCTTAAAAAAAAAAAAAAAAAGTCAGAGAGGAAATGGGGACAATATATGGAGGACCTTGGAGCTCCCTGAAAGGACTTTAGCTTTTAGTCTACATGAGATGCGAAGCCCTGGAAGGGTTTGAAGCATAGCAGTGACGTGACCAACTTCCAATTTAGCAGGTTCATTCTGGTCACTGTATGGTGACTAGAAAGAGGGAGGACAATGGCAGAAGCAAGGGGCCCCGTTAGAAGGCAGTAATCTAGGTAGGGAAGAGCTTGTACCGGGGTGTAAAAGAAGAAGTGCTAGGATTGCATATGGGGTGAGAATGAGGAGAGTCAAAGATACTCCAAGGGTTTTGGCCTGAGCAATTGGAAGACTGAAAAACCGTTGACTAAGATGAGAACAGCAGGTTTCCAGGAAGCAGGAATGGGGATAGCAGAAGCTAAAACTTGGACATAATTTGAAATGTTTATTAGACATTCGAGTGGAATCAGATGACTGGATATAAAAATATGATATTTGAGGAAGAGAACTGGGCTGGGAATGTAACTTTAGGAGCCTCAGCCAATAGCAAGGATTTAAAGCTACAATCCCTGAGGAGATGGCCAGGAGAATACATGTAGGTAGAGAAGAGGTAAGGCTCAGGACTGATCTCCAGGCTTTTGCAGCTCTTAGAGGTTCAGGAGATAAGGAGAAACCAGCAAAGGAGATTAGGAAGCAGCCTCCAGAGCTGGAGCAGGAGAATGAGAAGAGTGTGATACCCAGGAGGGAGTGATCAGCTATGGCAAGTGTGTTGCAGAGAGGCCCAATTAGGTTAGGATGGGGAACTGACCACTGGAATTAGTGATGTGGAGGCCATGGGTGATTCTGATAACAGCTGTTTGGTGTCGTGGTAGGAAGGAAAGCCTGTTATGTACAGGAGGTTGTCAGGAGAGAAATTGGAGACAGTGAGTATGGTCAACTCTTCCAAGAAGTTTTGCAATAAAGTAGACAAAGAAGAGGGGGTAGAAACTGCATTGGAAAGAGAGGTCAGAACTTTATAAAACTGGAGAAATAGCCAGGCGCGGTGGCTCACGCCTGTAATCCCAGCACTTTGCGAGGCCGAGGCGGGTGGGTCACGAGGTCAGGAGATCGAGACCATCCTGGCTAACACGGTGAAACCCCGTCTCTACTAAAAATAAAAAAAAATTAGCCTGGCGTGGTGGTGGGTGCCTGTAGTCCCAGCTATTGGGGAGGCTGAGGTAGGAGAATTGCATGAACCTGAGAGGCGGAGCTTGCAGTGAGCTGAGATCGTGCCACTGTACTCCAGACTGGGCGACAGAGCAAGACTCCGTCTCAAAAAAAAAAACTGGAGAAATAGGCCAGGCATGGTGGCTCATGCCTGCAATCTCAACGTTTTGGGAGGTCAAGGTAGGAGGATGGCTTGAGGCCAGGAGTTTGAGACTAGTTGGGCAGCATAGTGAGATGCCATCTCTACAAAAAAATTTAAAATTAGCCAAGTGTGGTAGTGCACACTTGTAGTTCCAGTTACTAAGGAGGTCAGTGAGCAAGTTATGTGGGTGGGAGGATTGCTTGACCCCGAGTGTTCAAGGCTGCAGTGAGCCATGATCACACCACTGCACTCTAGCCTGGGCAACAGAGTGAGACCCTGTCCCCTCCCACCACCCCTTGCAAAAAAAACCCCAAACAAACAAGCAAACAGACAAACAAAACTGGGGAAATAACAGCATGTTTGCTATGATGTTTGAGATGGTATGAGAAGGGAGAAATCAGTGATGCAGAGAGAAAGGGAGAATTACTTGAGCAATGACTTTGGTTGGGCAAAGGGTACCAGGGGATCCAGTGCACACGTAGGGGTTGTCTCAACCAGGCACATAAACAATTCAACAGTAGCCACACAGTGTGAGCCAAAGGCAGCTTTAGACCACACATTTCCAAGAAGAGGCTAAGGTTTCTGACCTGTCCATCTTATGACTTTATATTTTTCCTGTACTTCACAGTTAGAGAGTTGGCTTCTCTAACAAAGACTCAGCCAAAGGGGGAAAAACGTGCCAAGAGAAGGGGGCACCTTCAGAAACAGAAGAAGCAGGTTCCTTCTCTCCTGCCCTTGCGTTTGGTCCAGGCTGTTTTCTGGGAACTACAATACAAGGCAGCTTGAGGGGAGACAAAGATCTGTGGGTATAACTCAGCCCTGAAGGTCAGGCTGGCGCTTGAGCTCACTGCAGGGAGCGAACCCCCATCTCTGCCTTAGTTGAGGGTGTTATTATCCACCAGGGTCCCAAGCCTGAAATCTCACAGCTGAGATGTTCGAGGAGTTTGAAGAGAATGAGGATTAGCTACTTCCCTACAACCTCTTATAATCATGTTATAAAAGGAGCAAGTCACAGACCAAACTATGTCCTCGTAGAGAAATTTATGAACTAACTTTCTACTGGTAGGCAAGCACAAAAACAGTCACACAACGTGTTTTGGAGGCTCAGAGAAGTCCCGCCTTTCTGCCCTTTTAGGTACTCCAAGTGCTCTTTGCTTGGAGGGTCCATTCAGGCAAACACCAAGATTCCAGAGGTGGGATTCTTAGTACCGTATAGCCCACTGGTAACCAGAATTTTCCAGAATCCACTGCTGGCTGGTTATTGAACCATGTTGGGTTCTGGCTCTGAGCCTCACCCAGTGAGTAAAGCCCACAGATCCCACTGGATTCTTACACTCTGAGCGTGCAAGGGAGAGAGAATATCTCCACAACATTTTAGCTAGCCCAGGTATTGTCTTAGTTAGGTTTCTCCATAAGCAGACTCTAAGACAAACCCTTCGGTACAGATGTTCTATGTGGGAAATGATTTCAGAAAGGACAGTGAGGAGGTAGGAAAAGTAAAACCGGGGAGAGAGAAAAGACAGCAAAATGTGTGCTAAGGAGCATGTTACTGCTGTGGGCAGCTGGGCCTGAGGGTAGAGCAAACTTTGGAGTCTTTTCACCAAAGGACCGGGAGCCTGGGGCATTGCACTAATGACCCACATGCCCATTGGCTGAGGATTCCCCCGGCGGCATTCACCCTCCTGGTGGTACCTGCTTTGGGCAGAGCAAGCTCCAGTAGCGGCAGAGAAAACGCGCAGAAAAGAGAAGAGACACCGGTGTGGGGGGACATGGTTAGGCAGTCGGACCACCCTGGCCAACATGGTGAAACCCAGTCTCTACATAAATATACAAAAAATTAGCCAGGTGTGGTGGCTCGAGCCTGTAGTCCCAACTACCTGGGAGGCTGAGGTAGGAGGATCACCTGAGCCCGGGAAGTTGAGGCTGCAGTGAGCCGTGATGGTGCCACTGCATTCCAGCCTGGGTGATAGAGTGAGACCCTATCTCAAAAACCTTTAAAGAAAGAAAATCTCACATGAGAACTCCCCTCAGTGATAGTTCACAGACCGCTACCCATCAAAATCAGTCTCTGACTTTCACCATGCTGCTTAACCATGTGTTGTTCATGGATCTAGACACAAATAGGAGGCGCCCCGACCACGGGCCTCCCCACTAATTACCAACCCTGGCCCTGCACTATGCATTCCTGATGGGAGTCCCGGCAGCCCCTGGGTTACAGCTTAACCTGCATGGCACACACAGAACATCACGCTTACATGCTGAGCTGTGTTGAGGTAAATTATAGACACACAAATAGGTGGGTTGTTAGGTAAGGCTGCTCTGAGGGAACCATGAGCCTGAGCTCTGAATGAGAAGGAACCTGCCAGGCAAGGTCCAGGCAAGGTGGAGCATCTGAGGCCCAGGGACTAGTTCCTGCCACTTCCTCCCCCTCCCATTCCTTCTCTGTCCATCCCCAGGGCCTTTTATGCTTTTAAAATAACTACTTGGAAAATGCTCTTACCCATCTCTATGCCTGGCAATCTCCTCTACACTCTCAAAGCCCAGCTCAAATACCCCACCTCCTCATACATTCTATTCCAACAACTCCAGTCAAACACCCCACCACCCAAGGCATTTGGTCCTACCTGTGCCTTAGCATTTACTGTGCTGTATATATTTTGCCTTTTATGTATTTGCCTTCTTAAGAACAGTGAGAGTGGTTTATTCATCTCTGTATCCCTGGTCCTTAGCTCAATGCCTGGCTCACAGCAGATGCTCAATAAACACTTACTCAATGAATGGTATCTGTGAGGTGGTCAAGGAAGGGGATTTCTCAGGAGAAAGGGCCAGGGCTCACTCTTCTTCCTGAATCACCTTCTATTAATACCAAGTCGTCACACTCCCAGCCCAAAGCCTCCTCCCAGAAATACAAGGAAGGGAACTGCTAATATCTGAAAGGGAGAGACTTCATTCTCCATGCTGAGCACAAAGGCAGGGCTTGTGAGCTATGCTGTGGGGGAGGTTCTGCCTTCTCCCACTCCCTGGTTTAATGTGTAACTTGTCACCTTCCCCGAATGTCAATTTCTTCTATTTGCCTGTAACATTTTCACCTTGCTTGGTCGCCTTGGTTACAATGTGAAGTTTCAGGCCCAGGTCAGACCTGCCACCAGCCTACCCACCTCTGGATCCATAGTGACTGACAAAGGCTTTGACACCCTGGTCTCTGGCCCTAGGAGTCTGACCCAGAGTTCCCAAATCTGCCAAACACTCTCCGAATCACCCCCAACCCAGGGTCAGCTGGTGGCTGAGCTCTTAGGAGCCTCAGTTACTCCTGGAGGTCATGAGCCTGCCCTGTGCCTCCCACAGAGCCCTGCACCTTGGTAAGGCTCAATACATATTTGTGGAATTCAATGGAATTATTCTCCCTTGTTTGCTACAGTCCCTTCATTTGAAGATTCTATTTCTGCCTCCTAGAAGAGTTCACACTAACCTACAAGCTCTCCCTTCTTCCCTTTTCCCTTTTCCCTCCCTCCTTTCCTTCTTTCCTTTAATTTTTTGAGACAGAGTTTTGCTCTTGTTGCCCAGGCTGGAGTGTGATGGCGCCATCTCGGCTCACTGCAAACTCCGCCTCCTGGGTTCAAGTGATTCTCTGGCCTCAGCCTCCCGAGTAGCTGGGATTACAGGTGCCCACCACCACACCTGGCTAATTTTTATATTTTTAGTAGAGACAGGGTTTCACCACGTTGGCCAGGCTGGTCTCGAACTCCTGACCTCAGGTGATCCACCTGCTTCAGCCTCCCAAAGTGCTGGGATCACAGGCATGAGCCACTGCGCCTGGCCTCCTTCCTTTCTTCTACACATATTAAATCAGCACCAAACATGCAGCAGGCATGGAGGAGCCCCACAGTGACTAAGACCTTCCAGGCATCTCTTCTATGGAGATGACCTTACGGTACAGGACACATCAGCAAACCACAAGGTGACCTCACACAGTGGGAGATGCCATAAGGAAAAAACAGAGGCCCCGCCAGAGAGGAAAGGAGAGGGGTCTGCTCTGGAGAGGGCAGTTAGGGAGGGAGCTCTAGAGAAGGTGACAGAACACCAGAGGTGCAGTGCCAGTGTCTTAATGATGCAAAGCTTTTGTTTTAGTTTTTAAGATAAGGTCTTGTTCTGTCACCTAAGCTGGAGTGCAATGGCACAATCTCAGCTCACACAGCCTCAACCTGCTGGCCTCAGGCAATCCTCCCACCTCAGCCTCCCAAAGTGCTGGGATTACAGGCATGAGCCACTGCGCTTGGCCACAAAGTCTTATTTCTGGGGGAAAAAAAAAATCATAGCTAATGACGTAAGAATAACATTTGTTCATTCTGGTGGCAAGTACATGAGCATTACCTTTTGCGCTTTTCTGTATTAAAAGTGTTTCTGTATTTAAAATGTTTTCTGCATTATATTATCAAATTAAAAGCTTCTATTCAACAAGTCACAATTTGTGACACTTCAGCCGTAGCTCCTACGAATGATGATTAGCCACCTTGGAGCATTATCACTAGACCCCTGAATGACTCTGGCCCCTTGTCTTGCAGCCACCCTTGATTTCCTCTTTTTCTCTTCCTGGCAGACTGTTATTCATCCTTCAAAACCCAGCTCAAAGATTACCTTCCCAGTGAATCCTTCCTTTACCTCCTCTGAGTCAGTTGTTCCGTAATTGTAGTCACTCAGTACATTGTCTATATATTCCTAATAAATATATTCCTAGCATATTGTATCATTATTTATTTGTGCATATATCTTTCCTTAGTCTGTAGCTTCTTCCAGGATATACTGTCTGAATCTTGTTGATCTCCTTACCTTCAGTTTCTAGCAGAGAGCACACAGTAGCACATCGTAGATTCTCTGTGATGATACTCCACGCTGCCTGTTGGATGTGTGAATGAATGTTTAACCTTCAAACAACAAGCTTTCAAAAGTATATTAATAGAAGATATTTGTATACAAGGGATATGCTAATTAAAATTAGTTTTATTTATTCATTCACCCAAACTCAGCAAGAACGCCATTTGGCTGCTATTAATGTTTAGTGTGATTTATTGTAAGTGCTAGAAATGTAAAAAATGTGTTTCTTTTGAAAGGAAAGCTACAGTTCCTTCTTGTTTTCCTTCATGCCTCCCCCATTTGTCTGAATTAGTAAGGCTTTACTTTTAGTTCAAGTCTTTTCCTCAGACTTGAAAGTTGCTTGTACGGTAATTTAATTACCTCTGAATCTACCGAAGGCAAATACCAAGCAATGTACGAGGTTAGATTATGGAGTTCCAAGTTATGTATTAAGTCAGCCTCATGTAGTCCTCGAGGCGGTAGATGGTGACTCCTTACCCCCATTCCCGTGTGTCAGTGCTGGAAGGGAAGCCCAGTTAGAAAATTTGCATCCTTGAGTTAACCAACAGAAGGGCGGCAGAGTCCTTACATGCAAGCAAAGCAAACCAAGACAGAGGGCTGTCTGCTCCTTCCAAAGCTCTAGGGTTCTCCCTGGAGAGGCACGGATTAATCACCATAAAACCAGAAGGCAGTTGCCACCATCACTGAACAGATTGTGGGGGAAAACGTAGGTCTGGAGCTGGACTGACTTGGTTTCTATGCCAGCTCTGCCTCTTTCAAGGTGGAAATGCTACAGGACCTCCCACTGCCTCAGTTTCTTAATCAGTAAGATGGGATGATAATGGTATCTCCACTTCAGGGGCTGCTGTGAGGATCAGATGAGTGAACATGTAAAGTGCTTAGAACAGTGCCTGGCACATAACACGTGCTCAGGTGCAAAAGAAGCTCCCCAAGAAACTCTCTCCTGCAGCCCAACTGATTCACAGACAAAGGACATCTTCATTGCTGACACTTGTCCCCTGGGTGTTTCCTCACCTTGTCCCATATGCCCAGGGGCTACTGTGACTGAAACAATGGGGAATCATTGTGTAAAGTGCTGCAAAATGGGCAGGTTTTCTTCTAGCCCAAAGACTGACAATAATTTTTTGGAAGTGGGGCTTGGGGTTTAAGGAAGACGGTGGCCAGGGGCAATGGCTCATGGCTGTAATCCCAGCACTTTGGGAGGCCAAGGTGGGTGGATTCCTTGAGTTCAGGAATTCAAGACCAGCCTGGCCAACATGGTAAAACCTCATATCTACTAAAAATATAAAAATTAGCTGGATGTGGTGGCACGTGCCTGTAATCCCAGCTACTCAGGAGGCTGAGGCACAAGAATCGCTTGAACCTGGGAGGTGGAGGTTGCAGACAGCCGAGATTCTGTCACTGCAGAGCCTGGGGGACAGAGCAAGACTCCATCTCAAAAAATAAATAAAAGGGAAAATGGTGCCAACTTATTACAGAGAGAGAAATGGAATAACTGAAAGTGTGAAATGGAATTCACACCATTGACATTATTCTACCAATGTTTGCATTTTAGGGATTCTTTTTTTTTTTTTTTTTTTTTGAGATGGAGTCTCTGTCACCCAAGCTGGAGTGCAGTGGCACAATCTCGGCTCACTGCAACCTCTGCCTCCCAGGTTCAACTGATTCTCCTGCCTCAGCCTCCCAAGCAGCTGGGATTACAGTCATGTGCCACCACGGCCTGCTGATTTTTGTATTTTTAGTAGAGATGGAGTTTCACCATGTTGGCCAGGCTGCTCTCAAATTCCTGGACTCAGGTGATCTGCCCACCTCACCTCCCAAAGTGCTGAGATTACAGATGTGAGCCACCTCTCCCGGCTGCATTTTAAGATTCATAACCTGTGGGGTCTCAGGGCTTTTCTACTGGTTTACATGCAGTTCATATTAATTGGCTCTGGGCCATATGTAGCACCATTTGCCATATGTAGCACCACACCTAGTTTATCAGTTAGAATGCTTTGGGATGCAAGTAACAGAGAGACTATGAAAAGGAAATAGTGATTTAAGAAATAGAAACATGCATCGTCTTCTATAACAAGAAGTAGGTGATTCCAGGGTTGGTTTCTTGGCCCAGCGGGTCACCAGAGAGCCATGGTCCCACATATTTTCCATCCTTGTGCTCTGCTGTCCTCGGCATGTTGGCTTTTCCTCTGCAAGTTTCTTTTTTATGGTTGCACTATGGCTTCTGAGGCTCTTTCCCCTGCCCTGTCTCTCTTTCTATCATGGAGGAAAATATTGCCCAAATGCCTTCCCCTTCCACCCCAGCAAACTCCCCCTTAAGTCTCATTGTTTGACTGGGACACATGGAAACCTCTAACTATAAGGGAAGCTGGGGAAACCCCTGGTATTTTTAATGTCTACAGTAATTGGCCCAGCCAGCCAGGAAAACCGGAAGACTACAACGCAACCCATGATGTCTGCTGCACTTGCTCAAATGCCTCTTTTATCATTTCCATCTACGTTCTCTTCTCCAAAAGCCTCTTCCAACTCAAATATTAACTGGTGGCTGGTTCTTTTTCTCCTGGAAGAGGGTCTATCCCTTCCTAAGTCAGTTCTTTCTATGGGGCTGCTGCACGTACCTGCCCACATTGTGATCTGCCCAATTCTAGGAAATTCATACGCACTGCCATATGAATGGTGCTTCCTGGAGTTGTGCAGTGCACAACGTTCTCATCTGACACCCTGCAGACCATTTCTCACTCATCCTATGTTGATCTCTTACCCTGCTCTTCACCCATTTACTCTATGTTTCCTAATTCGTTGTCATTCATTCATTCAACAAACATTTATAGATCACCTAGTGAATGCCAGGAACTGGGATAGGCACTGGTTGGTAGAGGATGGTAAAAACAAGAAAAAAGCAAGTCCTCATTCTCCAGGAGCTACATCCCAGGGATGGAGACTGACGTGTGAACAAATCTTTACAGTACTGTGTGATATGTGTTCTAGGAGAGTGTGTCCCACAATCCTGTAGGAGTTCAGAGGGAGGAGTGGCTGAAGTAGGGAAAGGCTCCTAGAGGAGGTGACACTGGAGCTGGGTTTTGAAGGCCGATGGTGTATTTCAGGCAGAGGGATGAAAGAGAACACAGTGGTGCAAGGGAGACAGTACCATGTGCCGGGGGCGGCGAGAGATGTGACCAGGAATATGAGTTAGATCTGAATTATGAAAAGCAAAGGACTTGGATTTTATCCCATGGAAAATGAAGAACCATTGGATATTTTTAAACAAGAAAATTAACAAGACAAGGATGCCCACTCTCACCACTTGGCTCAACATAGTACTGGAAGTCCTAGCCAGAGCAGTTAGGCAAGTAAAAGAGACAAAAAGCATAGAAATCAGAAAGGAAGAAGCAAAGTTATCTCTGCAGATGACATAATATATACAGAAAAATCCTCCCAAATCTGTTAGAATTAATAAAGTTTCAAGATACAAGATTAACATACAAAAATCAGTTGCCTTTCTTTCTTTTTTTTTTCTTTCTTTCTTTCTTTCTTTCTTTCTTTCTTTCTTTCTTTCCTTCTTTCCTTCCTTCCTTCCTTCTTTCTTTCCTTCTTTCTTTCTTTCTTTCTTTCTTTCTTTCTTTCTTTCTTTCTTTCTTTCTTTCTCTCTCTCTCTCTCTCCTCTCTCTCTCTCTCTCTCTCTCTCTCTCTCTCTCCTTCCTTCCTTCCTCTCTTTCTTCTTCTTCTTCTTCTTCTTCTTCTTTTTTTTTTTTGACAGGGTCTTACTCTGTCATCCAGACTGGAGTGCAGTGGTGCAATCTTGGCTGACAGCAATCTCTGCCTCCCAGGCTCAAGCAATTCTCCTACTTCAGCCTCCCAAGTAGCTTGGGACCACAGGCGTATGCCACTACATCTGTCTAATTTTTTGTAGTTTTTGTAGAGACAGGGCTTGGCTATGTTGCCCAAGCTGGTCTCAAACTCTGGGACTCAGGCTATCTGCCTTCCTTAGCCTCCCAAAATGCTAGAATTATAGACTGGAGCCGCCACACCTGGCTTAATTAGTTGCGATTCTATATCCTAACAACAAACTATCTGAAAAGGAAATTAAGAAAGCAATCACATTTACAATAGCTTCAAAAAGAATAAAATACTTAGGGATAAACTTAGCCAAGGAGGTGAAAGACCCGTGCACTAAAAAGTACAAATCATCTTTGGGAGGCTGAAGCGGGCGGATCACAAGTTCAGGAGATCGAGACCACCCTGGCTAACGTGGTGAAACCCCGTGTCTACTAAAAATACAAAAAATTAGCCAGGCGTGGTGGCGGGCACCTGTAGTCCCAGCTACTTGGGAGGCTGAGGCAGGAGAATGGCGTGAACCCAGGAGGCAGAGCTTGCAGTGAGCGGAGATCGCGCCACTGCACTCCAGCCTGGGCGACAGAGCGAGACTCCATCTCAAAAAAAAAAAAAAACAAACTACAAATCATTGGCCTGATGCGGTGGTTCACGCCTGTAATTCCAGCACTTCGGGAGGCCAAGGTGGGCAGATCATTTGAGGCCAGGACTTCAAGACCAGCCTGACCAACATGGTGAAACCCCATCTCTACTAAAAATACAAAAATTAGCCAGGTGTGGTGGTGCAAGCCTGTAATCCCAGCTACTCAGGAGGCTGAGGCAGGAGAATCACTGAGACAGGGAGGCAGAGGTTGCAGTGAACTGAGATCATGCCACTGCACTCCAGCCTGGGTGAAAGAGACTCAGTCTCAAAATAAAAGTACAAATCATTGATGAAACAAATTAAGGAAGACACGAATACATGGAAATCCATCCTGTAGTCATGGATTGGAAGACTTAATATTGTTAAAAATATCCATATATCCATAGCTATCTACAGTATTGATGCAATCCCTATCAAAAATCTCAATGGCATTTTTTACAGAAATAGAAGAAACAATCTAAAATTCATATGGTACCACAAAAGACCCCAAATAACTAAAGCAACCTTGAGCAAGAAGAACAAAACTGGAGGCATCACACTTCCTGATTTCAAAATATACTACAAATCTATAGAAATTAAAACAGTATGGTGTGGTACTGGCATAAAAACAGACATATAAACCATGGTATAGCATAGAATAGATAGCCCAGAAATAAATGCATGTATGTATGGTCAACTCATCCTTAACAAGGGTCCAAAAATACATGTGGACAAGACAATCCTTTCAACAACTGGTGTTGAGAAAACTGGATTTGCATATGAAAAAGAATGAAATTGAATGCTTATCTTACACTATACTCAAAAATCAACTCAACATCGATTAAAGATTTAAATGCAAGATCTGGAACTGTAAATCTCCAAAAGAAAACATAGGAGAAAAAATTGGCAATGATTTCTTGGATTTGACACCAAAAGCACAGGCAACAAAAGCAAAATTAGACACGTAGGATCATATCAAACTAAAAATCCATGCAGCGAAGTAAACAATCAACAGAGTGAAAAGGCAACCTGTAGAGTGGGAGAAACTATTTGCAGACCATATATCCGATAAGGGATTACTATCCAGAATACCCAAGAAACTCCTACAACTCAACAGCTGAAACAAGAACAAATAACTTGTTTGATTGATTGATTGATTGATTTTTGAGACAGAGTTTCATTCTTGTCTCTCATGCTGGAGTGCAATGGATCACTGCAAACTCTGCCTCCTGGGTTCAAGAGATTCTCCTGCCTCAGCCTTCCAAGTAGGTGGGATTACAAGCATGAGCCACCACGCCCAGCTAATTTTTTGGTATTATTATTAGGAACGGGGTTTTACCATGCTGGCCAGGCTGGTCTCAAACTCCTGACCTTAGGTGATTCCCCACCTCCGCCTCACAAAGTGCTGGAATTACAGGCATGAGCCACCTTGCCCGCCAATAACTTGATTTTAAAATGGGCAAAGGACTTGAGTAGACACTTCTCTAAAGAAGATATACAGATAGCCAACAATACGTGAAAAGAGGCTAAACAACACTAATAATCAGGGAAATGCAAATCAGAACCACAATATCACCTCACACCTGCTAGGAGGGAAGGAATGAGTTCAAATTTGACCATATCCTGGTGATTAGACTTGGTGGCTAATTAGATGTGGAGGGAGACAGAGGAGTTAAGGATGACTTGGAGGCTTCCAGTTTGGGGAATGAGATGGATGATGGTACTGTTAGTTAAGAGGGAACACAGGCAGAAGAGTGTGTTTATAGAAGAAGATGATAAATCTGGTTTTGAGCACCCTGCATTTAATGCAGTTACCTGGTTATGAACGTGGCCACATGTAGAAGGGAGACTTAAATAAGAATCTAAAAGATCCATGGTCCAGGGGGGTGACATTGCACAATGAAGGGAAATAGACTGAGGGGAAGGCAGGGTCCAACACAGTGCAGTTTTGTTTTGTTTTGATTTTGAATAGAGTGGACTTTAAAGCATTTCAATAAGTTTTGTGGAAGGAGTCATTGGAGAGAATCAATGATGGGAGAGTGGGAGGGGAGAACTGATAGGATGGAGTCCTGGAGAGGGGCTAGCTGCAGGGCTGGATGGAGCCGGTATCTTGGGGCAGGAGGAAGAACAGAAACTTATCTGAGATATGGTAGAGGGCTGCCATCAATCTCTCTATCCCTTAAAAGGCTCAAAATCCCCAGAGATTTTTTTCAATTTGGTAAATTCATATTCCTGAGAGTCCTGAACAATTTCTACTTTTATTTATTTATTTATTTATTTATTTTTAGAAACGGAGTCTTGCTCTGTCCTCCATCCTGGAGTGCAGTGGCGGGATCTCGGCTCACTGCAAGCTCTACCTCCTGGGTTCACTCCATTCTCCTGCCTCAGCCTCCCGAGTAGCTGGGACTACAGGCGCCCACCTCCGCACCCGGTTAATTTTTGTATTTCTAGTAGAGACAGGGTTTCACCATGTTAGCCAGGATGGTCTCGATCTCCTGACCTTGTGATCCACCTGCCTCGGCCTCCCAAAGTGCTGGGATTACAGGTATGAACCACTGGGCCCAGCAAAATTTCTACTTTTAAAGTTTGAGTACCAGTATCCATTTCCTTTTGGAGAGGTGACAGGACCCTAGTCTCTTTCTGGGGAATTACTTTTCTCCCATTGTGCGTAGTCCTGGTGAGCTGTCAACCTCTCCGAACTCCTCACCACCCAAGGTGATCACATGACCCAGGCTGAGCTGGTCATTGTCTTTCCTGGGGCTTTTGGCCTTTGAGCAGAAGGAAGCAGGGTTGGCAGTTGCTTGGAGCTCATTCATTCCAGTGACTGTGTCCTAAAGAAGCCACCCACCACATTCTGTTCTCAGACCCCTGGAGCCACCCTCGTTTCCTCAGTCTTTCCTTTTGTTATTGTTGTTGTTGTTTGTTTGTTCGTTTTTGAGATGAAGCCTTGCTCTGTCACCCAGGCTGGAGTGCAGTTGCGCAATCTCAGCTCACTGCAACCACCGCTTCCCAGGTTCAAGTGATTCTCCTGCCTCAGTCTCCCAGGTAGCTAGGATTACGGGCGCCCACTACCACACCTGGCTAATTTCATATTTTTAGTAGAGACAGGGTTTCACCGTGTTGGCCAGGCTAGTCTTGAACTCTTGACCTTAAGTACCCACTTCAGCTTCCCAAAGTGCTGGGATTACAGGCTTGAGCCACCGCACCCAGACAGACTTTAGGGGACTTTTTAAAATATGAATGACTTATATCATTTCAATAAATTCTATTTCTGCTTAAGTTGGCCACAGTGAGATTCTGGCTGCTTTTGACCAAAGTATACTAGTGATAGCTCTGAAAAACTGCAGAATAATAGCGTGTTTTTTGCTGATGAGGATTGTACAGGTATTTTCAACCTCCCATTTTACAGAGCAGATTTGACATCAGTCTCCCTATCCCCAGTTTATAAGGAACAAGACATAGGCCTGGGAAGAGCTGCTGGAATCCATGGCCAGCACGAGCTTTGTCCACACCCAGCTCTGAGACTTCCTAAACTTTCCTCCCTTGTCCTTCTCCTGCCCCTCACCTCTCTTTGCCTGCTTTAAATCCCATCCAGAAGGAAAGACTAGGGAGATCTAACTATTCCCCATGGGGTCTATCTGATAACTGGGAAATCTCCCAGCAGTCATTAGGTTCTAAGATCTTTCTCTTACTCAGCCAGAGGAAAAGACTCAAACCATGACAGATATGCGCTGAGCCCTGGAAATGTCCCACGGGGTGCATCCAGCCAGTGCAAACCCATCTCTCTTTGTGCATTCCCTTCCAGCTACGTTCTTGGTGGAAATCCTATTGCTTTAGTTCACTAACACCATGAGGAAGTGTCACTGTGTACCCCCCACTTGGGTGGGGGGCCATAGCAGAAAGGCTATGAGCACGGGCTTTCATGCCAGGCAGAGGTTGGTCCTAACTCTACCATCTACCCACTGTCCGAAGTGGGCAAGTCACTCGCCCACTTGGCTTACCAGTTTCCCAGCTGATGAACTGGAGAAAATAATTACTGACCATCAGGGTAGTTGTAAGGTTTAAATAAGGCGATGTAGATCAGGTGCTTTCCACAGAACTTAGCACACAACAGTGCTCAATGAATGACAGCAGTTGTTCCATTATTACTGCCTTTTTGTAGCTTGAGACAAACACAGGTGAGAAGACAGCACACTACTCAAGGTGATGTGAGATGTGACATACACTCAGATGAGACGTGTTGGTGGTGGTGGGAGGAGATTTGAGGTGACGGCTGCTGTGGACAGGGAGTGGACAGGTGAGATGTCACACTTAAGCTGGGCCCTGAAGAATGAATAGAAATTAAATAAGACAGAAGGGAGGCAGTGGAGCCAGGAACACACCTAGCTGGGACAGCGTGTTTATGGGATGCCATGCAGTCTGGCTGGGCAGCAGGGCGGGTCTCCTGGAGTAAGGAAGTGGTGGAAATGGGGAGAGGGAGTCTGGGCCTGGGGGCCTTTGATTTGTCGACTTAGGTCTCCTGTTATTCCATGAGTCCCTGTTCTGGCAGCTCCCCTTCCTCTAAGAAGAATACACCATCCCCTAGGGGATTGTAGGCATGTGCCAAACTGCTGGGCATGGAGAGTTCCCCAGCAAATGGGTTCCTGGTCAAAAGGCATTCTGCTTCCACCAGGTAGTGGGTATTTACTTCAGCGTGAGCACCTGCTTTTGGGGAACCCTTTGGGGACATCAATCTGCCCTTTCTGCCTCCTCTTCCCATGCAAGATGTCACCAGCATCAAACTGTGTGATCTCCACCTGACACACCTGTAGAATGCCCTCTGGAAATGGTGCGCCCAGCAGTGTCCCCAGAGCTTCCTCGTCCTTGAGTTTAAAGCCAGCGTGCCCACAATGCTGCTTCCTGGTCTCCTGTGTCCTGGCGAGAGATGATTAATGGCCTAGCCACACCGGTGTGTTGTATTTAGGTCTCTCCCCAAGCAGATAGATTTTTCTTTCCAGATAAAGTGGAGGCAGGCCCTTCCTGGACTGCAGGTCCTTGCCCACCCCTCCTGGCTGGCGGTCTATGTTAGGGAATTCGGAAAAGTAAATGAATTGATAAGACAGTGTGGGAGGGGGATGACTGCACTTTCAGTGGCCCTTGTAAACAATGTAAAGTCACCTTGATGTGCCGGGACTAATGATGCTGGAGTGAGCCAAATGGAGCCCGGTGGCACTGAGCCAGTGGAGGTGCACACATCCCTGCGGCCGGAGAGGAGCCGTCAAGGGCCCACCTCCCTCTGCCTGTGTCTTTTCTGTGTGGTGACACACAGCTCTGTCTCATTCCAGGGGCCAGACCTCCTGAACTTTCAGTTGCTTCCTCTGTACAAGGGGATCTTCTAGGTTGAGCTGTGTCTCCCACAATGATGTTTAAGTCCTGGCTCCCAGTTCCTGTGAAGGTGACCTTTGGAAATAAGGTCTTTGCAGATGATCAAGTTAAGATGAAGTCACTAGGGTGGGCCCTCCTCCAATGACTGGTGTCCTTATAAAAAGGGGAAATTTGGACACAGAGGCAGAAACACACACAGGGCTAAGGTACTGTGAAGCTGAAGGCAGAAATTGGGATGATGGTGCATCTACAAGCCAAGGAACCCCAAAGACTGCCAGCCAACCACCAGAAGCTAAGAGCGAGACCTGGAACAGATTCTCCCTCACAGCCCTCAGAAGGAACCAACCCTGCTGACACCTTAATCCCAGACTTCCAGCCTCCAGAACTACGAGCCAATACATTTCTGTTGTTTTAGGCCCCCCAGTTTTGGCGACTTTATTCTGCAGCCCTTGCAGACTAATACGAGAAGTAATAATTCTCCCTGTGGGGGTGTGCCGAGGATGTGACAAGAAAATCCGGGCGAAGCAGCTAGTACGTAACACGTGTTCACAAATGGTCATTGACTTCTTAGGCTGGGAGGCTCACCCCCAGACCTAGGGGTTAAGAACTGGGCTGGATGTAGGCGAAGGGGCTGGCAGACCACGCAAAACAAAAAGTACTGCAAGGTCAGCCTCCTTGTTTCTACAGAATAGACACACGGTAAAGAGTTTAGGAAGGGACCGCTTATTGTGTGATGTTGTTTATATGAAATATACAGAATAGGCAAATCCATAGAGGCAGAAAGCAGATATGTGGTTGCTGGAAGCTAGGGTTTCCAAAATGCATATGTTAAGGAGAAATAAATGCCTTTTGTTTAAGCCACCAAGTCTGAGGTCTTTTGCTATGGCAGCCCTAGCAGACTAATGGGGGAATGGAAGGTGCCTGCTTAATGTGTACGGGGATCTCTTTGGGAGTGATGAAATGTTCCGGAACTAAACAGTGGTGATAGTTTGCACAGTGTGCAGCATTGTGAGTGTGCTTAACGCCACTCAACTGCATACTTTAAAATGGTGAATTTGCTCATATGCAGAATCTAAAAAAGCTGACCTCTTAGAAGTAGAGAGTAAAATAGTGGTTACCAGAGGCTGGGGAAAGGAGTGGGAAGGGTGGATGGGGAGCAACTGGTTAGTGGTACAGTGTCTCAGTTAAATAAGCGAAATAAGTTCTGGTGTGCTATTGCACAGAAAGATGGTTACAGCTAACAATATTGGATGGTATATTTCAAAATAGCTAGAAGAAAGGATCTTGAATGTTCTCACCACGAAGAAACAATGAATGTTCAAGATTATAGAAATGCTAAATACTCTGATTTGATTATTATATGTTGTATGTATGTACAGTTATTATGTGTCAATTAAATTTTTTTTCCAGTGGGCTTTAGTATATTTACTATGTTATGCGAGCATTCCAGCTATCTAATTCCATAAAATTTCCAGAACAATTCAGAGCCTATCAGTGCAATAAAAAAAATTAATAGTGAATTTTATGTCATATGAATTTACAGTATTAAGAAAAAGACAGCTGGCATGGTGGCATGTGCCTGTAGTCCCAGCTACTTGGGAGGCTGAGGCAGGAAGATCACTGGAGCCCAGGAGCTTGAGACTAGCCTGGGCAACATAGCGAGATCCCATCTGTAAAAGAAAAAAGGAAAAAGTATATATTGCACACTAAAAAATTTTGAAAAGGAGGGATTAGGAAGGAAAACTCAAGAAATTCTAGAAAAGTTGGAATCACCTTTGAAGGAGGAGGCAGAACTCATAATCTCATTGAATAACTGGGGTTGCTGAGATATTTGGATTTTTTCAAAAATGTCATGTTCTGGTCAACTGCTGAGTGGTAGTAGCCTCAGGGTGGAACATATAACTGTTCTGGGACACCAGAATACACCAGGTGGGCAGAGCATCTCTGGAATAATTGAAGTTGCAGTGATATTTGGATCATTTTTTTTAAATGCCATGTTCTGGCCAGCTGCTGAGTGGCAGCCTAAAGGTGGAATATTCAACTGTGCCGGGACACCAGGGCATCTCTGGGGAAAAAGAATGGAGCAGGGTAGGGAGGAGTGAGTGTATTATGAACCTGGCCCTTTGTGATAGGTGCAGCAACCGGGACAGATTTGGAATCCTCTGGGTCTTCCTGTTCTTCTCTACACCTGCTTTTGGGCTGGCACACTAAAACTCCAAAAGTCCCCATGCGGTCTTCTCTTCCTGACCTCTGACCTCTGGCCAGCTCTGTGGCCAGAGCACGCCTTGCCGTGGGGTACTTGCCCTGCCAGTGCCGCTTCCCGTTTTTTGGGAAGAACCAAGGCAAGATCGAGTGATGTGGCTCAGGTAGGCAGGACACTGGATGGGCCAGGCATTATTCTAAGCATCCTTTTGTGTTGAGTCATTTTGTCCTCATGACAATCCTATGAGATAGACACTTAGAATTCCCACATTGCAGATGAGGAAACTGAAGCACAGACATACTAAGGAATTTTTCTAGAGTTTCCCAATAACAAGCGGAAGAGGCAAGATTCCAACCCAGGGAGTTCCGATCCAGAGCCTGTGCTTAACAGCCCCATCTGACAGGCTCAGAGGTGTGTGTCCGGATGTGCATCTGCTCCGAGTGGACTAGCAGGCCTGGCCCTTGAAGCTGGAGAGGTTTTATGATGAGAAAGTGAGGCCATGATGAGTCTCCTGCAAGCAAAAGCCTGGGGTCTCCTAAGATGATGACCTGCCATTCGAGAGAGCCCCTGTGAGCAGAGAGAAATGCCGCTGGTTATCAGCTGGTCCCAGCAGACCCCTGCTGCCCCCAGGCCAGCTTCAAGGGGGCAGACACCAAGGCTTGGTTCAGTTGGCAGAGTTGAGAACCAGACTGTGAGATGATACAGAGGTCGACCTTGAGATAAAAAGCCAAAACAAAGGTGCCACAGGGGCTTCCTAGGGAGAGGGGTGGCTGGGTTCAACCCAAACACTGACCCCTTCCTACAGACAGGGTGCTGTGCTAGGGGGCTGTGGAAGCCCTAGGAGGGGCTGCAGGATGTCTGCCAGAGATCAGCGAGGGCTCGGTAAGAGTTGGAGGAGAAAGAAAATCATGGAGGGAAGTCCTCAGTTTGCATCAGAAGAGAAAGGTTTTTCCCTGGGAAGGAGCCTGGTGGTGAATGTGCGTGTAAGTGGCTATAGCCCCAGTCATCAGAATGGGAGTCTCTCTAGAGCCCTGTCTCTGCAGGGTTATCTGCTTTTCCAGCAACTAAACTTGCAGGGAACCCTGTGTGTGGCCAGGCCTGAGTAGACAGGAGTGCCTGGTGGCTGACCACTGGCATCACTGGCCTGGTACTCAGAAGGGCAGTGGTTCTCAGATAAAACTGCGAGTGAAAATACAGCAGTTTGACTATATCTGCCTGAAGTCTCACTCCCAGTTCTGGGCCTTCCTAGGGACACTCTTATGATACAGACATTTCTAGAGAGTATCTTACTTAGTCCAAAGGAGTGGCTCAAATGACAGTATCTTAAGTATCACTCTTTCATTCAATTAGTCAGTCAATCAATCCATACTCAGGAGGGTCTTGCTACAGATCAGGTATTATGGGGATGTGATGATGAATGAGACAAACACATAGTCTTTACCTTCTTGGAGCTCATATTGCAATGGCAGGCTACTGGTGGAAAGATTGGAGGCCCTACACGTTTAATAGGTTTTTGACTTCAACAGCTTAGATACCACCCCATCCTCATAGTTTCTGATAACCTGGAGAGTAAAGGATTAGATCTAACATGAAGAGGAGGTTCAACTTCATTTCTTTTAAAAATTGGGGATCAGGAAGTTTTAGGGATTATGAAGTACCTGTCCCTTATCCATACCAGCAAGGGGTTCATCCTATGACCCCTCTTGAAGGGGAAACTCACCTGAAATTCTGCCTCATTTAGCATGCACAAGAAATCCAGAAAATCAAGACAGGTGACCCTGTGTAGTCAAAGCAAGTGGGTCTCCAGATGGCAGATGGGAAGCCCCCTGGGGTAATGCATGCTCACCTGGTTAATTGTTGAACAGCCCATACTTGTGCCGTTTCACCATGATTCTTCCAACTTCCAGAAACAGCCCCTTGGCTCAGCTTTCAGAGCTGGACTGGCCTATCCCAGAGAGGCGGCCCCAACTTTGTAGAAACTGGGACAGGCAGTGCTTCTTAGAGACCCTCCGGTACCCCAAAGAGCGGGGCTTGTTCTCCAAAAAGGAAATCTTTTCAGACGACTTGACGTCCTAAATCTTTCTGGAGAAAGCAGAGACATTAACACCCCCAGGGCCTTTCAACTTCAGGCCGTTCTTCTGTTGGGAACGCCATCTCTTGGCCTCTTCAAAGACCTGGCCTCACCAGGCAACTGCACTTCCTCTCTCACCCTCCAGGAGCCTTCTGCATGGCCCCCAAGAAGCCTGCCTGGCCCCTGAGCTGGGAAAGCTGAATTCCCTCCCTGCCTCCTAATTTGGCAGGAGGAATGGAAACTTTCGTGGAAAGCACTTGAGCTGACGAATGCTCCCAAGTCAGGACTTTGACTCGGGCCCTGACAGGGCCACGGGCTCAGGATCCGGAGGGGGGCGGCTCTCCTTCTCCAGGTCAGGACCTCCTGCCCTGGCTCCTCCCCTTGCTTTCTGCCGACCATCAGTCACCAGCTCCCCTGTGACCCCAAGTGACGGCCGCACACCACTAGAGAAGTCATTGTCTTACACATCCCCCCTTTTCACTTGCCCTCCCCCAGTTCCTCCTCCCCTTCATGGTGTATTTTTCTTCCACACTTTCCTGCGTCCATCAGTGGCTGTGGAGTCTGCATGGGGCTGGGTGGAGTTGGAAGTCTAGAGCTTTTTGCTGTTTTGTTTAAGACCTGGTTATGGTTGTGAGACTTTTTTTTTTTTTTTTTTTTTTTTGTCAGCTGCCTGTTATATCAATCACGGAGTCGGGATCTATTTATAGGTTGGGAGTACTGTGTCCTTAGTCACAAAGAGACACAGACAGGGGACTGTCAGCTGGTACCGGAGGAGCGGAGCAACGAGTTATCAGCAACTGAAAGCACCTGAGGGGCCGCACATTCCACCCCAGCCCAGTCCTCGTCCTCCACGCCAGCCCCAAGCATGTGAGTAACCCAACTTCTCCCTTTCTCCTCCCCAGACTCTGCGGGTCCTTTTCTGTCCCCTTTCTCTCTCTCTCTCTCTCTCTCTCTCTCTCTCTCTCTCTCTCAATGGATAAAAATATCTCCCCATGCCTGTTCTTTCATCCTGGTTTTCCGCACTCTAAAGCATCCCTGTGTGGCCGAGAGGAAAACGTTGCCTTTCTTAGACTGTCACAGGAAGGTCAGAGGGTCTCTGGATGGCTAGGTGGGACGGTGACACAAACTCATTTGGAAGCAGTGAGTTCCCTTTGATTTTTGTTTGTTTTCACTGAGAAAAAAGTAAGTACATCAGAAGGGCAAGGGAAAGTTTACATGCAGCTCAGCAGGGTAGCGATGTCGCCCAGCGTGAAAACTTTTATTTGCTGGCAGCTCCGGTGTAGGGCAAGCTGGGGAAGGTTACCCAAGAAGACCCAGTGCCCACAGGACAGGTAATGATGGGAGCTCCTGGAAGTTTTGGTTTCAACCTGGGAGCTTCCAGGTTCAGGGAGACTCCCCACAGTCCCGATGACCAGTTTTCTATAGCACCTTAAAGTAAATGATTTTCCCTCTCCCCTCCGCGGAGCAAGTTTGCTTTGAGAAGTCACGATGAGAGCTGAGGATTTGTCCTGCCTTACAGGCTGTCATTGGCTCCCTCATTTGGTGTATTTTCTTAATCCTGAAAGGGAACTTGGCTGGGGACTGGGAGGAAGAGTCCCAGGCCAAAGCCAGGTGTGGAGGGAGGGCTGTTGACTGCTTTGCTCTGCATCCTTCGCAAAGGAAGAAACTTAATATCGTGAGGCTTGTCAAAGCTGTGCTTGTTTCAGACAATTCGAATAGTGTGCCGGCTCTGAGTGCACCTCGGGCGGCTCTAGATGGGGCCTTCCCGGCCACAGTCCTGTGTCCACGGGGCTTACCTGCCACGAGCTTCCCGTGCAACGTTTGGGACTTTAGTTTCTGGATATTGAATAGTATTCACCCGAAATCCTGTACTTGGGAAGATTTGCTTTATAGAATTTACAAAGGAAAAGTAGCCCTACATTTTGAAAAAAAAAAAAAAAAAAGTAATGATGCCTAATTTATACTTAAGTACAACTTTTTAAATGTACCTTTTTTTTTTTTTAACCATGAGTTTCTATTTATCCAATGGATACCATATGCTATATGACTGAGGACTCCTTGATTTGTTTGGGAGAACAATATCCTACAAAGAAACAATCTTTCCAACAATTTAAAAGCATTAAACAAAGCAGATATGCCTGTATTATTTTTGATTGATTACAAACAAAAATAGTTTTACCAGCATGAAACCAGTTAGTTTCATCTAACTCGATGAAAGTTAAATAAATATGGATATACACACGTATGTTTAGAGAAGCAATTTGATATCATTTTTATTTTGACTGTTCTGAAACTTTAACTTTCCTTTTTCTGGTTCCATGTTTTCAGCTGTATTTTGTTTAGGGTTATTAATATCTTTAATCCATTCATTCATTATTTTGGACGGGAGAGTGGGGATCAGGAAGCAATGAGAAATTAGAAGGCAAACGTCCCATGTTCAGCCAGTAAGACCGCATTCAGTAGTGGAGAAATTCAGAACAAGGAGTATGGCGTACAAGGGGGTAAATGTCACTATTTAAGATCTAGTATAGACGGTGAAGTCTAAGAACTCCAGAGGGGGACAAACGCCAACTAGGAGTTAAAGTGTCTTATACATATAGCATTATTATTCTTCCTATTATGAGGGCCTCTATTTTGGTAAATATGTCCTGCTAAGGTTTTTTCACCATAATGCTGAAGTGGGATTTGGTGGATTATTGTTAATTAAAGCTCAAGTGAATGAAGTGATTGAGACATTGCATTCAGAAATCAGAGAAGATTGCTATTGGCAAAGCTGAACTTCTAGGACTTTCAGATCTCAATGGCTTTTGAGAAAAAATGTGGCTTTTAAAAATGCCTTTTAGTACAAGAACAAATTCTACCTCCCCTCCCCAACCTGCACACTGGAGCCTGCCTGGCCCACTGTGCAGGCCCAGTGTGTCAGGATTAAATGCAGTGGGAGAGAGTCCCGCATTCCTGAGCAAGTCCTGTGTTCTCAGAGCCTTAATGGTCAGACAGAAGAATATTTTGTTGGGACATTTAGCTAAAAACTGCCTCTTCCCTGGGCTACGTGTAGATCCTTTCAGGTGAGATAGGGGCTTGTCTGACCGTGTGATAGAGGGCCTGGCTTTCATCCTCAAGTTCAGGGTGTGGTTTGGCCCATCGGGCTTAGTTATAGAGATGCAGTTCAGGGAAACTTCAGTGTATTTGCATGAGACAGCCTCTGATTACTTAGTTTCTGCTTCAATAACTATTAATTTTATGTGGTTTGAGCTCCCATCAAATTCATTTTTTTTTTCAAACTGATTTCTTAAATGCAATTGGTCACGGGGCTGTCTGTGACTTCATGTCTGCAAAATCTAACCATTCCATCCTTGTCATTGTTTATTTCTCTGAATGTAAATGAGCAGTTTCCTGTGTGCATGCACTGTTGTTTTATGGGTTCCCCCCACCGCCCTCGAACACATAGGAATCCAGTCCTGACCTCCTCCCAAATTGGGGACAGTGGGGGCAATGAGCAGGTGCTTTGGAATGCAGCAGGCTCAGGTGCAGGAAGAGGGAATCACAAATACCTGGAAAGTGCTCCCCTAATTCAAACGATTTTACATAGTTGAGGCCTCTCCAAATACCCCATCAATTAAAATGGCAGCTGGCAGGATTTTAAAACCAAAGACCACGAGCAGCTTTTTCCCTATCACTTCACTTCTACAGTATATCTGTCCATCTTTTTCTTATCTCTATTTTTACATTTCATTATCCTCCCACTCTTTCTGTCCCTCCTGCTTTCCCTCCCCCTTTTCGCCTTTCTTGAAAACACATTTCTATCTGGCACAGAAAATAAACTCAGATTGTGGGTAGTTATGTTAATCTAATTCAATCCTCAGCGGGTTAAGAGTGAAATTCTAATAGTGGAGCGGTGGAGGGCTTTTTTGTTAATGGCTTGGGGATTACATTGAGTTAAAGGCTCATTTCCTAATCAAACAGAGAGGGAGAGAGTGACTCCGAATATTTATGAGTCTCCCAGTGAGAGTTTAAACATTCAACTCCAAAAGCAGGGTTTCTGCAGGAGGAAAGAGTTAAAACCCCTCAGGGCTGTTGGGAAAAAAAAAATTAAACCAGTTAAGCCATCAGCATTTTCAGGCTTCTGTACAACTTCTGTGCTTGCAAAGTGGAAGGCAGTGTGGAGCTGGAGAGAGGGGAGTCATTCCACAAAGCAAAAATGGCAACTGTGGTGCAAGCTCTGAAGCTGAAGTCAGCTGATTTGCTCAGAAAAGAGTGTCCCTTCCAATCCCCCTACAGCTGATGCACCCCTCAGTTTGCTAAGGGCCTGGAGGGGCTGTGTGCCTTCAACTCCCCAGATCGCTTCTCCTGCTCCAGTTCGGAGGTGAGAACATAGAGATAGGAGTATGGCTCAATTTGCTAGCAGCTAGGGAGCTCCTGTGTCGTCTGGTGGGGCCAGAGAAATGGATTCTCTCCCACTTTGGTCATGCCCCTGGAGTGCCGAGGGCTCAGTCTTCCCCTTTAGCACACCAATTAACATCTCCACAGGACCCTTTTCCCACTGTGATGTGTTTGGGTCTGAATCCCTTGGTTCTCCTGCTGGCTTTCTTCACGTGAGGCCCTCAAAGTCCGCCTGGCTCACTGTTCCCAGGTAAAGGCAGGTGAAGAACTCTCTGGTCTCCAGCCAGAGAAGCAACTTGGCCAAGGTCGAGCAATGTCAAGGCCAAGCTGAGGTCAGAAGTCTAAGTCCCGGCAAGCATTCTGGCCTCTCTCTCCCCTCCTACTCCAGGGAAAGTCAGAGCCATATGGCTGCCGAAACAGGCCCTGGCTCCCCTGGAGAGAGATTTCCTTCTTCAGCTTGGAAAGGGAGGGCAGGAATCCCTGATACAAGGGGATTCTGCATGCTCTGTGAACACACATCCTTTTTTCTGCCACCAACCAAGTGAGCAGTTTCTATTTGTTTCACGTGGGCCTTTTTTCCCTGTTTCATGAGGTCAGCAGAGGCACCAGGGTGCCAACTTTTTTTCTACAGCATCCCCTGGCTTTTTATTTCGCCTGTACTTGGGCACTGTTCTTTCTTTAGTGCTTCAAGCTCAGTGCCCTGTGAGTCTTGTATTTCTCCTTTCAAGTCAAGGTGGCATCTATAACACGTCTAGATCAGCTCTTCTGGGGCACCTTCTCCCTTTTCCTGGGGCTTTCGAGGTCCTCGCCTGGTCTCCCTCCATGACTGCATTCACCCCCTGTGCTATGCTTCTGTGTCTCCCTCATTAGGCCAGGAGCTCCACCGAGGAGAGTCCATGCTTCATTTCTCTTTGTTAGCCTGCCTCATCGTTGATAATTCCTGCCCTCTTGCCCTGACCCGTGCTCTACGGACAGTAGAGAGCTGCAGTTAAGCATGCGCCTTCCAAGTCAGACAGCCAGGGTTCAAATCCTGGCGCTCACCTTTCTCAGTTATGAGACTTGAGTTACGAAACCCCTCAGGGTCTCACTTTTCCCATCTGCAAAATGGGGATAACAATAGGATCAACCTCATAGGGTTGTTGGGAAGATGAAACGCACGTGAAGTGCTTAGCCCTGGGCCCAATAGGTGTTGACACTTTTATTTGTTCAGCACGGAGCACTCGCTTCTGCACACATCATGTCACACCATTAAAGACAGGCTCCCACACCTTCCACTAAGGGGATATTTTTCCTGAAAGTTGGCCATGCAGAGCTCTGTGTCAGCAAGACATGCAGCTTCATCCTCCAGTGGGCTATTCCATGAGGAAGCCCTCTAACCTGAGAAGAACCCAGGACCTTACAGCACTGTTTAAACCACTATGGGAGAGCAGAGGATGTGACCTGGGCTTTGGGCATCACTCCTCAGTCAGAGGAAGCTGTGACTCTTTTCCCTCTGTAGAAAGAGAATTTTCTTAAGTTTCTTGGCCCTGGCTCACATTCCAGTGAGCACTTTTGTTCTTGGGTCTCCAAGTCACTGCTGCACCCCCTCCACCCCACATTCTCAGAGGGCAGTTTAGGCTCTGCCTACAGAGCAGGCCAGACCAGTCCTGGCTGTGCAACCAACAGGGCTGCTTTTATAGGGCAGCTGGTGACTGCTTTGGCCTCCTCCCTCTTGACACGATCACTTGACAAATGAATCCAAACTCCATCACTGGAGTTCCTGCAAGAGGTGTCCTCTCGTGGGATGTCTGCAGTCCTGAGACCCTCAGTACTCCTTGTTCCCATGCAGGGACTCACGATGCGGCCAGGCAATGCTCTCTCTTCCTTTTCTTTGCTCACTGTTAAGCCATTGTTTCCTGATTGAAGCAGGGGACTGGAATATGAATCCCAGTGCCATCCAAACTTACAAAGTGTCCCATATCCTCACTCCCTCCCCTCTGCTCCTGCTCCTAGCAGTTGGTAGTAGTCATAGTAGTAGTACAATTAGTAGTAGTCACTATCTCCCTTTTTGCCTCATTATTCACCTTTGAAATTCCCCAGTGCCTAGTGCAGTGCCTGGCACATAGTATGTGTTCAGTAAACACATGCAGAGTGAATTGCAGAAGTTCTTTCTTCATGGGGCCACTTCTAGTCACTTCATCACAGCAGGAGGGATTTGATGCTATGGATGTCCACCTGCTTTCACTACTAGGTCAGCTCGTGACTCATTGATCATGGTCCTTGCCCCTATCCTTCTCTCCTCTCTGTCCCTCTCTCCTGCTTTCATGTTCCTCTGTCCAGGAAAAAAAAATGAGATGAGTCTTTTATCATATGTGCACAAATCTTCCCAGGAATTTTATTCTGTTCAGTGAAGAAGCTTTGTCTAAGTCGATGTCAAATTTAATTGCTAAACTGGTATCTCTCCTGTGAATATTTCCCTCATTTGTCATGCTCTCTCCTCTCCCCTTTCTGAGCCATACCTGCTTCCTCTAGCTGTTCAAACTCTGTAGGGCCCCCTGTGCTCCTCTTCTTGCTTTAACCACTCTGGTCCCGGGTGGTACACATGAGAGGAAGACCTTCCTTCTGAAGTTTTCCAAAGTGTCTGCTTCCATTAGCACAGACAAGGCTTTTGAAAGGTGTCAAGTTATGAACATCATTTTGGGTACGGGATTCTTCCCACAACAGTTTTTCTGCTCTCGTTTGGAAGACAGGGGATAAAAACTCAGGCTGCTGAGGGTTAAATGACAGCAATGAAAAGTCTAGGCATCTCTTGGGGACAAGTGGCTGGCTAAGACAATTGATTAGCTTGGCTTAGTGATCTTTCTAGCAATATTCAGGAGTAAAATTATTGCTGATTAGGCTCTGTGTGTGTGTGTGTGTGTGTGTGTGTGTGTGTGTGTGTGTGTGTGTTTTAGGGTTTACGGCAACAATGGTAGGATAAGATATGAGAAAGAAATGGATTGTTTGCTCCTAAGTCGGTCTCAGGAAGGAACCTATCATCCCATGTGCATCTGGGGTTATATTAAAATTGTGGACTTTATATGCACACAGGTCAGCTGGGGGAAGGCACAATGAAGGGTGCCTAGGGCCTCCTCATAGATTTTCTTTGCTACTCCCTGTGAATCTGTCATTATTTTGAAATAAAAAGTTAAAAAATAAAGTCAACTGGAAAGAGGCCCAGTGTTGGAGACCGCTTCCGCCCGCGGGCTCCGGTAGTCGGAAGGATGGCCCAGTGTGCTGTGGAAGGAGGCGGGTACCAGGCGGTCCAGCCCAGTTCCAACCTCAGGATTGCTGGTAATTCAGGTGCTGATGCTTTCAGGACCACAGTTTCCTTAATTATAAAATGAGCCACTGGGAGAGATCTCTTAGGCTCTCCAGCTCTATAAGTTTACATTTTTAGATGATGAACCCAGGCCATTGTTCTCCTAATATCACCAGTAAGATAGGTTATCCAGCCTGTGTTCCTCTCATCCAAGGCCTTGGGCCCAGATGTGGCTTTTCTTGTGCTGTGTGGCTTTAGCATCATTCTCCTTGGTTTGTTTTCTGTCCTCACCTTCCCCTGTCTATAAGCACCTCTAGGGGTTAGTGGAAAACTGTCAGGGTTCCTTTTTCAAAAACAAGTTTCCAAACTCTGCATTTTAAATTTTGGCTTTAATTTGTAGAGACCCTAGTTTTGTACCTCTGTGGCTTTAATTTTCCTCCTTCCCCAGTCTTCCACCCCAGCAGTCGCACCTAGGCTTGTACGTGTCTGGAGAGGCCCAACACCTGGGCTCCAGGTTTGCTAAAAGTCCTTTAGCAGAGTTGGAAGCGAGGAGCACAGTTGAGGTTTGGGAGGGGAGTTGCCAAACGGGGTGACCTCTGCAAGTTCTTAACTTCACTGTAGCTTAATTCCTTCACCTGCCGAGTGGGGCTGACACCTCCTCTGAGTGTCTCCCAGCACTGGTGTGAAGCAAAATAAAAATCAGAGGATAAACATTCCTTTAAAACTGGAAGTGCTTGCCAGTTTTAGACTAAATGATTCCCCCTAATGGTGACCTCCATGAAACAGTTTTGGTGAAAAGCAGGCTTCAGCGCCAAGCTACTAGAGCCTTATCCACGTTGTAACAGTTGTGACCTTGGGCAACTGTCCCAGCCTCTCCACTTCACACTCAGTTTCCTCATCTGTAAAATATGGGTTATAAGAACACCTCCTTCACTGAGTTGTTGCGAGAATTAAAGGAGCCCTGTGTAAGTCCCTTGAATAGTACCTGCTGGATAATAAACCCTCAAAGCCACTGCTGTGGGTGAGGATGATGACATTTTGGCTGTTATCATCATTTTGCAGGGCCTGGTGCCAGAAAGGCCAAGAAAGAGGAAACTTTCAAAGTTCCTACATTCCTCCCAGAGTCCCCCGGACAGCTTGCCAGTATAGCAGAAGATGCTATATTGAGTCACGGATGGCTGACCACAATACCCCTAATGTGCACATGTGTGCACAAGCATCTACAGGTGGTTTAAAACATGCTCTCATCCTTTACAATTCTCTGCTGAAGGGGACTCCACTCCCATATCCGATGACCAAGTGAGCATCCTTCCATTGCCTGTCTGGGCTTTGGGGTGACCTGGCCAAGCCTTTTTCCTCTCATGGAAATCTGCTCTCCATAACCTAAAACATCCACAGGCTGCTGCAGTCCAGATGTGAAGGTGGGATGCCATTTAACATGGCTTGTCTTTGCTGTCCTAAGCATTCAGAACCACTGGAGTGTCATCTCTGCACAGGGCCAATTCCTCTTCCCTGCGTAGCATAGCTAAAGTGGGGTTGCTTGTTTGCCACATATTTGATGGTGCATCTTTGGGGAGTACTTTGCAAGGAAAGAAGAATAGGAATAAGCATGGGCAATTTCTCATGCCTCTGAGGGGTGCCATTTGTATATTTCAAGGGACTTGGAGAACTAACATCAGGTTCTTGGGGAAAATTCCAAATCCAGACTTGTGACCAGCCTGGGTGTTTGTGCACACGTGTGCACATTAGGAAGGAGTATTGTGGTCAGCCATCCATGACTCTTCTTTCCCCATCTCAGGCTAATAGTAATCTTGAAGGAACATGTAATTACTATTTACTCTAGGGCACTCAATTGAGAACACACTCATGTAATGACTCTTGAGTTTTTCTGCCTTTAGAATCCCATATGCTGTTTCTCCTTTGGAAACCAGTGGGTATCAAGCACCACTTTTAGCCCAGGGGAAAAGACCACAAGATGGATATGAGTCCCCGCAAGTTCAAACTTTACTCTTGATTAGTAGAAACATGGTTGGTGGTGGTGTCTTTCTTCGGCACAATCTTCACTCGGATCTCTGCCCTTTATGATGGAAGCTTCAAAACAGAGCCAGTGTTAACCTAATGGATAGTCTTGGTGGACCGGGGCAGTCAGCAGCATGGCTAAGGGAAGGGAGTTAAGAAAATTCCTAGAGACACGATGATACCATTTATATAAGATTTTAAAACTTGCAATATATGCCATATATAGCCTAGGGATCAACCATAAGACATGCATGGGAATGAAACACCAACTTCAGGAGAAAATGGATATATGCTCATTGGGATATCATCTGTACTCAACTGCCAAGCATGCTTTGGCTTCCTCAGTTTCCCCACTTATTTTTGGGATGAATTTGCCTAATCATTTAAGGTGGGTAATGAGGCCAGAGAGAGGGCAAGTGGATGCATTGTTATTAAACCTGTGGAATCTATTTGCTAAAAATATCAGAAATATTACTTTGAAATATGACACTCTACTGATGCCGTAGGACACTATCTCAGAGGCTACCAAAGTGCTTACAGAAATAAAACTGATTTTGTAGCAGCATATTGAGCAAGCATTTACATTAGCTTCTATAAGCCTCTGCCTGATGGCTTTCTACGAGCCACTTCATCTCTTTTGGCCTCTGTTTCTTCTTCTGTAAAAGAAATCGGTAGACCAGATGACCTCCAAGGACTGTTCTGTTCAGTCCTGACCTTCTCCTGTGCCCCCCTGGGCAGTGATCATGTTGTATGACAGCTGTTTGCCTGTCTGTTTCCCCTCCAGAATTAAGGACTCTGTAGGCAGGGCATGGTGGGCCCATCTCCCAGCACCGTGCCTGGACACGGCAGGCACTTGACACGCTTTGGATGTACTAATGAGAGAAATGATACAAAAGTAGATGCCAACCCCCACAGCCCAGTGTCGACTTGGCTGTTTCCAGAAATGCCACAAGCCTGGCTGATGGTGCTTAGCGGTTTTGGTTTCCTCCCTTGAGGCCCTCCCTCATGGGTCAGGGGTGGTGGTTGGTGCCTTCATGGTGTGAACTGGAGAATATGTTAGCAATAATATGTAAACTGAGCTGCCCCAAACAAAGCCCTGAAAACACCTTGGAGGAATGACATTGTTTCCTGAATGCCAGCCTTACTTCTCTCCATGCCCATTCTACTGCCTGTTTCTGGCTTTTCCCCTCTCTCCATCATACTCTATTAATTTAAAGATATTACATTTGGAGACTCGCTAAATAAAGAGGCCTCAGAGCACAAAGTATCCCTCATCCATTTTCTGGGTCCCTCTGTGCTTCCTTATAAAGATTTTTTCTTATTTTTTACTAAATGGCCTCGATTTTATCATTAATTGCTGTGCGACAATTCTTTTTACTGTGTCTAACTTATTTCTTACATATTCTCCCGTAAGTCCTTAACTCTATTGGTCTCTGTGCCCCTTTCCATTTTTGCCTTTGCCATTTTATAAAATGTATGAAGTGATTCCTTTATATATTGAACCCTTGATCTCAGGCCTTCCCTATAGTCTTCCACCCAAATTTCCCAGAAGAATGGTTCTTAACAGTTGGACTTTCACAGTCCAGGTAATCTCGGGTCTTTGTCATTTCCATACTGAGCCTGGGGTCATGCCTTGTTCTCTGTCCCCTAAAATCTCGTATTTTCTTTAACCAGCAGTTTTCACACTGGGGTTGAACCATATTATGACTTTAAAGCTTTAAGAATTCTTCAGTATCTCTCTTTTGCTCTATATTGTGAAAGATTGTATGTTTTCACCTAGACAATAATCTCTCCTTGTGTTAACTGTACCCTTACCCGATACCTAATCATGACATTTCCCTAAGACATTTCTTTATTGTTTCCTTACCTTGTTGTCTAGTGCTTGCCTGGTTCTTGACTTTTTCAAGTGTGCCTCCCCTGTATTACTCTTCTGTGTGTGGGAGAAGGAAAGAGGCATTTTTTGAGAGCCTGTTCTGTGCTGGAAACTTCCTACAGTTTATCTCACTTATCCTTGGAACAACTGAAAGATGGTATTAAGATTCTTCCCATTCGGGAGGCTGAGGCAGGAGAATGGCGTGAACCTGGGAGGCGGAGCTTGCAGTGAGCCGAGATTGTGCCACTGCAATCCGGCCTGGGCTAAAGAGCGGGACTCCGTCTCAAAAAAAAAAAAAATATATTCTTCCCATTATACAAAAGAGGAAACTGAGGCTCTGAGGTTAAGGATCTTGCTTAAGGCCACCCAGGCAGCAAATAGTACCATAGAATGTCACCTTCTACAATAGGCAACGGGGCTGAGTGCAAACAGGCAACCACGTGAATACCCTTTTGTATCATTTACATGTATATTGAACTCAGTTCAACATTTTCAAAGTTTTCATCTTTTTATGTATTTTCTTTAAAAAGGTTTGAGAGTCCCCCTTCACAGACCCATGTGAAAGAGAGGTCCTGATACTCTAGCTTTGATTCCCCAAGTCCCTGTGTCCTTGTAAAGATGACAACACAGACACGTCTGCCAGGTCAGCCCTCTGTTAATCAGTCTTAGCTTTCCTTTGGAACTGCTAACAGCCTTGCTTTTCCATAAGTCAGTTTCTAAAAATCTCTGCTGAGGAGCCGGGAACCATGTTGGAGAATGCAGACCTAATCTGCAGGTTTAGACTTTCAAAGTGGCTGCGTCGCCAGGAGCTCTTTCCGAAAGCACGTGCTCATTTTCCCCTACCTTATCACGTCCACACCTTCCTGGCCCCATCTCCTGCCCTACTTCTGACCTTCTAGCCTCCCTTCACCATCCCATAGACAATGTTTTCATTCCATTGTGTTTCACATCTTGTGTTTTTCCCCACCATACTCTTTCCACAGGTCATCTTTCTTGAGACCTGAACCTGGTAGTCCATCACCTCTCCCACCACCAATATCATCTTAACCCCTTGGGGGACACGAACATGTTCATCCCTCCATGTGGGCTGTCCCAAGCTTACTCCACTGCCAGGCTTTCTCATTGAGGGAGTGAGACGTGGGCAGTGGGGTCTTCTGCCGATGCTGATTCTACCGCCTTGGGCAGCTGGCCTCCTCGCCCACTCTCCTGTGACCTTTATCTCCACGCAATCCGCCCACCTTGGCTCTTGGGATGCTAATCACATTGCTGAGGAGAGTTATAACATCTCCCTACCTTGGATGGAGTCCAGCATGCGCTCACTGTTTGGGACAAAGTGTTTATCCTCTATCTGCCCGTGACCTTCCGTGGACACAGGTTCATCAGGTTTCTGCCTTTCTGCTGGCTTCACTTTCTGTCCAGGGGCTCCCACAGCCTGTAGTCTCCCTTCTGAATGCAGTGGGTGGGGGGCGTCTGGGGGATGCTAGCATATGTTTAGAAGTCCCTGATGTGATTTCCAATGTTCAGCACTTCCTCCTTTTCTCTATGCCACAGTGTCACATTGAAAACCTCAGATCACCGAAGTTAGATGACCCAACAGAGAGATTTTTTGTCTCTAGAGCATTCACATTCTTTGGGGACATTTTTTTTCTATCTTGTCTGGCATTCTTAGAGTCCCCAGTTTTTGGTCTCTCTCTCTCTCTTTCTCTTTTTTTTTTTTTTTTCTTTTGAGAGAGGGTCTCACTCTGTTGCCCAGGCTGGAGTGGAGTGGTAGGAACATGGCTGACTGCAGCATTGACCTCTTGGGCTCAAGCAATTCTCCTGCCTTGGCTTCTTGAGTAGCTGGGACTACAGGCATGTACCACTATGCCTGGCTAATTTTTTTAATTTTTGGAGAGACAGGTCATCACTTTTTTGCCCAGGCTTGTCTTGAACTCCTGGGCTCAAGCAATTCTCCCACCTCAGCCTCCCAAAGTGTTCAGATTACAGGTATGAGCCACTGCACCTGGTCTGGTCTTTCTTTTCATAAGGAGCCCACTCAAGTTCCCATGCTGGGGAGGGGAGGTGTGTTGGATGTGACAGTAGTTGCTCCTGATAGAGGCCCCTGGGTTCTCAGCTGCAGGGTGACAGCATATTAGGGTGAATTGCGTGGGATCTGTCAACTTCCCGAGTGGTGGCCTTGACCAAGGCGCTGGTTCTCCAGATGGGAGTGACCCAGAGGAGGCCAATGCTGTTCTCTCTGGTTTCTGGGGCCATTGCAGGTTCAGGGGCTGGAATTTCCCCCAGAGTGGGCGAGTCTGCTGCATAACTGGTGCTTCTTCATCTGACGAAGGCATGTAAGTATCTCTGCCTGGTGATGTTTGGCATTGCCTTGTTCTTGGGTTCCATTGTCACCCTGGCTGTTTGGGGAAGACTTCTGAGAGGTAGGGGAGGAGACTAACTTAGGTCGGAGTCTCCAGGGGCAGAGCCTGAAATGGGCATTCTGGGCAAGAGCTGTGTTGAGGGAGTGCTCTCTGGGGAATCCTGTAAGGGACTGAAGAAGGAAAAATAGGGCGGCAGGAAGCTAAGCAAAGCTGTGGACTCAGCCAAGGTCTAGCCTCAGCCTATCCAGGAGCATAAATGACGCTGCAGAGTTGTCCCACCTTGAGGCACAGACTGGTCAGTTCCAACCCCAAGTCAATCAGTCATTGGCTGAGAGCTGCCCCGGCAGGGAGGGAGTAGACTCCTAGGCCCTTCTGGACCCCATGAGGGCTCCTGTGGGTCATGGGTGATTCTCAGGAGAAGGCTGCAGCTGTTAGCAGCTGGGGATGGGAGCATCACTGGCCAGAGGGATCTGAGCAGAGCACCAACAGCATCTAGGACAGAGAGACGATGGGAGCTGGTGCCCTAGTGTTGTCCTCATCCCCTCCCTCTCTGTGGGGGTCCCTCGAGAATGTGACCATGAGCTTCCATCTCTCTCCAGGTTGAGCCCATGGTAGAACTCATCAAAGAGAACCAGGACCCTGGGTGTTGAAGCTTCTAGGCTACAAAGACAGGGATTCTGAAGACCATCAGTGTCTGGAGCTTGGGTTACATCTCTCTTTCTCTCTGCTAGTTTGGGCTCAGCAAAGGCAGAGGAAGGGGAATCACTCACTGCCACATACGTACGCTTGGTGGAGGGCTGTACACAAAGTAAGAAATCGCCTCTTTCTCTTCTAAGGACAGCAGCTTCCCTCCAGGTCCTTTTGATGGAATTAGGAGCTCCCTACAATTGCCTTCCTACAGGGAAGTCTTTTGGCCTTTGATTTGCCTTCAGCAAAAGGCCAGGATAGGGAATGCAGGCATCACCTGTTACAAAGCGGCACTTTCTTTTCTTTTTCTTTTTCTTTTTTTTTTTTTTTTTTTTTGAGACAGAGTCTTTCTGTCACCCAGCCTGGAGTGCAGTGGCTCAATCTTGGCTCACTGCAACCTCCGCCTCCCAGGTTCAAGGGATTCTCCTGCCTCAGCCTCCCGAGTAGCTGGGATTACAGCTGTGTGCCACCACGCCTAGCTAATTTTTGTATTTTTGGTAGAAACAGGGTTTCACCATGTTGGTGGAGGTCTCCTGACCTCAGGTGATCCGCCCACCTTGGCCTCCCAAAGTGCTGGGATTACAGGCGTGAGCCACTGCACCCAGCCACAAGCAACACTTTTTATAAATGTCCACGTGCCTGGCTCTGCGTGGGAAAAATACGGAAGATAAATTCTTATTCTTTTGGAGTTTGAAATATCAAATTAGTTAGGGCAGGAGTGGGGAGAGAAAGGGAGGGGTTGTCTGCTGGCTTTAATTGGTTGTCGTCTGTCTGGCTGCCTCAAGGGAAAGGAGACGGGGTGTGTAAGGAAGGCAAGCACACGGAGAAGGGAAACTTATATTGCTGAAGGACCACGTTTAGAGTCCTGGGCCAAGTTCTTCTCGTATTAATGCATCTGATCTCCATGGCAAGCCTTTGAAGTAGGTGGTATCTCCAGTTTGTAGCTCAGGGAACAGAGGTACAAACAGGTACCTCTGAACAGGTAGCTCCTCAGCCTACCTGAGGAGGCTGCAGACCTAGGCAATGGCAAAGACAAGTTTCAAACTCAAGCCTGGTTGCCTCTTATAGCTCATGTTATCTTGCCACTAAACAAGTAGGGCTTGGATACCTAATTCTAGGAACACTGGAGTGGCTGAAGGGGGAGGTCAGGGCCATGAGGGCGCGCTGGCCCGCAGTAACTCTAGACGGCCCAGCTCATCCCAGGTCCCAAGGGCTTGAGTGTCTCCCTGAGTGAATTCCTCTACTGCACTCAGCCTCCTCTTCTCATCGCCCGCCTGTGCTGCACACCCACAGGCTGCAGCCCCCCAGCCCTATGCCACATCACATTTTCTCTATGTTTGAGACACCTCCTCCCTGAAGCCTCCCTAGTGATATAAAGGCTAAGAGTAAAGCACCCTCACTCCACATGCCCGGCATCCACCACTGACTGCAATCATATCTGTGCTCAGGGACCCATGCGTTCTCTCTGTGCCAGCCTGAGTGCCTGTGGCTGCCCAGTGGTTTCTTGTATACCTGCTCAGAATGCCATGCCCAAGTGTGTTTTTAACACTTGCTCTGTGCTGGGCACTGCTGAAACTAAGGGAAAAAAAAAGGTAAAGAAAGAAAGAAACTCAAGATGCAATGATGTCCCAGTGCTGAAGTGAAGGAACCTACACATGGACAGCTGATGGCCTGAGGACAGCATAGGGGATGGTAAAAGTCCAGACTTTGGACTTGGACAAATCTGGGTTCATATTGTGGCTCTGCTGCTTCTTAGCTTTGGGATCCCTGGCGAGTTAATCTGCCTCTTTGCACTTCAGTTTTCTTGTCTGTGCAAAGGGAACAATAAAATCCAATCTTGTGGGGCTACTCTAAGGACTAAAGTAGATGAGCCATACGGAAGCACCAGCTCCTCTGGTAGCTAAAGTTCATGGACAGTGAGTGTTGCTGGCGTTTGTGGACACAAAAGCATTGAGTGAGAAGAGTGTTGGTGGTAACAAGGTCAGTCTAATCTAGAACTTTGCTGACTCAAGAGTTTGGCTGTAGAAGTGGGTAGAGGGTAGGAAAGGGGTTTGCTTTGGAAGACGTTGGGGCTGCACGACTCCCTCCTCCTCTCCCAATTTCAGGACCCAGTTGCACCTTTGAAGGCCACTTGGCTTTCTTCTCTGGCTGTGCCCTGCACAGAGAAGGGGAAAAAAGCACCCTTCTTGCCAGCTGCTTTTTCCAGACTTCATATGTTTAGATCCCTGGGCATAGGGAGGGCTCCAGGGTGCATAGGCCACCATCTGCTAGAGCAGCCACGCCTGGGCCCAGCACCAGCACAGCCTCGGGACCCCATGCCCAGTTTTTGGCAGCTTCCAGGGCTGGGAGAGCCTAGGCCTGGGCCGGGTGACCTCGCAGCTGTGCCTTCCACCCCTCAGGGGCTTGTGTTTGTGTCTCTCTTGGGGGCCTTCCTGGCTGCTGGGCAAGTGGCCCACTGTCCTTCACTACCAGCAGCTCACATTGCCCAGCCTGTGCCAATGGTTGCCAAGGGATTCTCAACCAAGAGGCCTGGTGTCCTGGTGTCTCTTGCATATGCAGCTGCCTGCGTGTCACCCAGGGCTGGGGACCCACGTGGGGGTGGGCTGAGCCACTGGTCTCTACCTCCTGGGGCTTGGCCAGCTTCCCCATTTCTCTCTGACACGCCTGGAAACTCCTGAAAAGTGTCTATGCTCATGTGAGTCCAAGGGGAAAATTGGACAAGTGTCTCAGAAGATAGAGATGCTTGTTAAATTCTACTGAAAGGATATTTGACACTATGTGAGGTGGTAGGTTTTCTAGCCTGACTTCCCGGAAAGGTATTCAGCTTGTGATGATGATAATGATGATGATGATGATGATGATGATGATGAGCCAGGCACTGCGCTCTCTCCTGTCTTCCCTTCTCAGGCTCAGCAACCCAAGGAAGTGCATACTATAATTCCCCCAGAGGAGAAAGATGGGCCCTGGGGAGTTAAATGAGTAGCCTATGGCTTACGGCTGTTGAATGGCGGCACTGGAAGTTGAACCATTTCTTACCCTAATGCCTGTGCTTTTTGTTGTTGTTGTTGCTGAGACAGAGTCTCACTCTGTAGCCCAGGCTGGAGTTGTGCAGTGGTGTGATCTTGGCTCACTGCAACCTCCGTCTCCCAGGTTCAAGCAATTCTCCTGTCTCAGCCTCCCGAGTAACTGGGATTATAGGCACGTGCCACCACACCTGGCTAATTTTCGTAATTTTTTTTTTTTTAAGTAGAGACGAGGTTTCACCATGTTGGCCAGGCTGGTCTCGAACTCCTGACGCCAGGTGATTCACCCACCTCGGCCTCCCAAAGTGCTGGGGTTACAGGCGTGAGCCACTGTGCCCGGCCATACCTGTGCTTTTGACCTTGTACTGCACTTCAGCCCCATGCAATGCTTTGTGGAACTATGAGATCATTTCTACCAGAGCTACAGAGGAGACCTCAAACAAGTAAGGAGTACTTCCCCATTTTATAGGATGAGAAACTGAGGCCGGTGGTCAGAGCACCCTCAGTCCAGTACTCATGCCAATATAGGACCTCAGCAAGGAGGGTCCTCACCTCCTGGGGTGAACTGCAGAGTTGCTGGGACACTGTGTGCATTTTAGCAAAAGCTCTACTGTGTGTTTTAGAAACTTCAAATGTAGGAAGATACAGGAAAGAGAGGAAGCAGTTAGAGTTGGCCTAGGAATGAGATATACTGGCTGGGAGGTCCCTTAGTCCCCCTGAGTCGGGGACCAGGACCATCAGCTTCTGGGGGACTCTATCAATGCCCCCAATCCACACACAAGTGCCGCAGGCAGCCTTTAAAAATGTGCATATGTGCCTATGTGTAGGTGCCACCGTTCATCTAAGGCCAGGGCCCTTCTTGCCCCACCCCCGCCCCACACACCTCCCAGGGCTCACACCCACCTCCACTGTCCTCTTGTCCTTCCACTGCCCTTGAGTCCCATGCACCAGCTATGCGGCAACACCCTGTTTTCCTGAATGAGGGCCAGGCTGGGCTGCATCCCTGTGTCCTGGCTCACACAGACCCTTCATGACTCTGCTAGATTCTCCCCTTCTCAGAGAAGCCTCCTCATGCCTCCTCTTGCAGACATCATCTCCCCTGCTCTGGTCCACGCATGCACTCTGTGCCCCGTCTGCAGTAGCCCCTGAGTCCCAGTTATGCACTGCTGTGTCTGTCTTCCCTCCAGGACTGAGATCTCTTGAGGCAGGAACTATGTTGCAAATATTCAAAGGAATGCCCCCAAGAGCTGTGTGTGTTTGATCTCTGGTGCACAGAGTAGTTGCTCAATACGGTTTTGTGGAGTCCAGTTCAAAAGAGAGCAGGGGCTGAAAAACCAGGTTGTGAAGGGAGCTGAATGTCAGCATGGTTATGGGAGTGGGAGGGTAAGAGAAGGGAAGGGGCTTGGCAGCCAGTATTTTATGGTATTTAGGAAAAAGCAATTGGGTACCCGTTTGGCCACCACACACCAGTAACTCCAGTGTCAAATTGGATCACATTCTGGGAAAGGGGTCACTCGAGAACTTGTCTTCCCAGGGCCCAGGAGAGAACAAGGAGAAGTGGGAGGTTCCCAGCCCTAGAATAAATAAATAATCGAGTCAATCTCAGGTTTAACTCCCTTTGACCTTATGTCCCCAACACTGCTACCAGGCAGTCCCAGGGCCAGCAGGTTCTCTCTGTGTGCCAGTTCCCCATTCCCGTCCCTCTGCAGGGAGCTGGGAGGTTCCGTGAATCCCAATGCCGGCTGGCCCAGCTGGAAACAGCTGTGCACAGCAGAAAGATGCACAGCACACTCCAGGCACTGACCTATGCAAACACAAGCAGAATTATAGCCGCCCATAAACAAATTAGCATCCTTTAAAAGGTGAAAAGCTCCATAAAATGTCTGGGTTTTGTTTACGGCTCCGCGGTGGGGTGGCAGGGAGCTGTATTAAATCACCGAGGTGCCCATGTAGCGCGGGCTCTCTTTTCTCCTCTCAACTCCCCCCACCACCCTTGTGGGCACACACAGACCCGGGCGCACACTCACATGCACACGCTGCCCTGCCTGCAATGGCCGCTCAGTCCGTCCTGCCGTTGTTCCTGCCAGCCCGGGTCCCAGCAGGTGTTCCCTAATTAGCAATCTCTTCATTTCCAATCAAAGCACAAAGCGGCCCCAAAAGCCTGTCTTTACGAGGGAGCCGAGCAGCGGCTAGGGATGTGCGGGGGGGATAATTGTCTTCGCCAGTGGCGGCAGTAAGCGGGCTGGCTAATTCATTATTGTAATAACTTTGCTTGTCCTTGGGGAGGTGTGGGTGGGGGAGGGAGGGAGGGGAAGAGGGAAGGGATGAGTGTGGCTGAGGGTGGGGTGGGTGAGGGTCTGGGGCCAAGGGGTAGGAGGCAGAAGAGCGAATGACGGACACACCTGTTCGCGGCCCTCCTTGCCGGCCAGCAGGGAGCCCTCCCTCTCTCTGTGTACCCATTCCCCACCGCAGGCCAGGATGGGCCCTGGTTCTGAGGGAGGCTCTGGGATCTAGGAAGCAGGGCAGCGTTTACCCTCTGGGGCCCAAGGGGCTGGCTCCCGAATAAATCTTAGGGTCAGTGATGTGGGATGGGGTCCCGGGAGCCAGGCTGCTGTCTTCCCAGGACCAAATCCCACGAACTCCTGGACCTACGTTTTCATCCCGCCTGACACAGTGGCAGAGGGGCTCCAGTTAGAGTGTCCAAGAAGCATCCCTGCACTGTTGTTGGCAGAGCCATATAGGTGACAACTCAAAGACCCCCCAACCCAAAGCAGGAACTAACCACGAAGGTGGCTATGAATACCCCTAAAAAGAGGCCATCATGGCCGCTGGCCCTGGTTGCCCCCGCACTCTGTCCTGGTGTACTTGCCCTGACCACTTCCTGGAGTAAGAGGTCGGGACCCCTCCCTGGCAGCTGGTGTGCAAGTAGACTAAGAATCGAGGAAGGGAGGATCGAGGATCGTGGTGGCTGGGTCGCCAGGGGGCTTCGGGAAGCTTTAGGACTCCAGCTGAGCCCCCATCAGAAACAAAACACAGGTATGGAGGAAGCAAGGGCGCTGTCCCTGGTGGAGGAAACCTTGTGAGCAAAGGCTCAGGGTGAATCCTGGGCTTGAGGACAAAGGGAGGCAGGTCTGGGGGATGGGGGCAGGGGTATGCTGAGGAGTCCTGGGAGAATCTGGGAATGCAGGGTGGGGCTGGCCACGGAAAAGCTGAGTGGCAGGCTGGAGACTCGGTCTTCATCTCTTGTACCCCCAAATCAATAGCAGTAGCAACCCCTGCTAGACAGCCTGCAGATGGCATTGCCCTGCCCTGGAGAGATGGGGTCAGTTAGGTAAGCCCTCGGTTTCTGGGGACAGCCTGTCCTTGCTCACACTGGAACTTGGGGGAGATGGCCAAGATAGGAACCTACCAGATGGCCAAAGAGGAAGGGATCGCCTCCCCATACTCCTCCCTCTCCCCTGAAGCTGCCGTCCCAAATCCCGGCCATGTGACACTTGCTGTGGACATTAGAAATGACTTCTGACCAGCCCTGGCATGACTCCTGGCAGCTTTTCTCTGAGTTCTGGGCATTTCCCTGGCCTGAGTGCCTGGTGAAGACCGGCCAGTGGTAATGGTTGTGGCTCCAGAATCAGAAGACCTAGAGTCAAATCCTGGCCCCATCTGTGAATTCACCTTTGTGCCTCAGTTTCCTCATCTGTAAAATGGGGATGATAAAAGTAGCTGCCTCACATGAACTAACACGGGTGGCATGCACAGCACAGCGCTGGCTCGTGTAGTGAGGGCTCCTGATGTGTTCGCTCCTGCTCTTAAAGACGTGAGAGGGAGGAAGTGTGTGTGGTTGGGGGAGAGGCTATCAGAGCTTCACTTCCTTCCTTTACCCATTTTTCTCCCATCTGGGAAATGGAATGGAGAAGGCCGAATATGGACTATCTAAGGTTCTCTGCTTGAAGGACAACAGAGAGCTGGGGATATGCAGCTGCCTGTCCTCTTGTCCAGGGGGCTAGCTAATTTGGAGATCTCGACATCACCCTGGCAGCAGTGACCAGGAGGCCAAGGCCCAGCCCTGTTCCAGCTCAGCCCTGCCTCTTTCTGCTTGGTTTGGGTTGGGAGGCCCTGTGGCAGCATTCTGGTCCCTGCACCTGTGCCAGGAGGGTGGCCACGTGCCTGGCTTTGCTCATCAGGAGTCCCCCAGCCCCGATCTTGGTCTGGCCCAAAGAACTGAGTTAATAGAAGTCCAGGTGCCCAGCGCCCAGTCATCTCAATGGTCATTTCCTGAGAACTTTGTGGCTTTGGTGTTAGCTCTCATCCTAGCTTAAGAAAACCATGGAGCCAGCTTTCTGTCCCCTCCCCAACCCCAATTTACAGATCATTTTACAACAGCCTTTCAACAAATATTTATGAAGCATTTATTATGTGCTTGGTGGGAGAATCTGATGCTACACCAATAAAGGAGAGGATGATTGGAGTTGCCTCTCTCTTGGGATGGAGAAGCCCTCCCTGCAGAGGTGACATGTAAGCCTCCATCCACCCGAGGGACCTGCAGGGAACCAAGTTAGAATCTGCGTGGGCTGGAGCAGTTCTGTCCAGTGGAAATGCAATGCAAGCCACGTGTGTAATTTTAAACTTTCTAGTAGCCACACTTTTAAAATTTTTGAGACAGGGTCTCAAAAAGGCTGGAGTGCAGTGGCACAATCAAAGCTCACTGCAGCCTCTATCTCCTGGGCTCAAGCCATCCTTCTGCCTCCGCCTCCTGAGTAGCTGGGCCTACAGGGTGCACCACCATATATATATATATTCTATATATATATAATATATAAATATATATTTATATATGTATTTGTATATAATATATAAATATATACAATATAATATATATTTATATAATATATATTTATATATTTATATATTATATATTTATATATTATATATTATATATTTATATATTATATAAATATATATTATATATATTTATATATTATATAAATATATATTATATATATTTATATATTATATATTTATATATTTATATATTATATATATTTATATATTATATATATTTATATATTATATATTTATATATTATATATAAATATATAATATATATTATATATTATATATAAATATATAATATATTTATATATTATATATTTATATATTTATATATTATATATTTATATATTATATATTTATATATAATATATTTTTTTATATATTATATATTTATATATTATATACTTATATATTATATATATTTATATATTATATACTTATATATTATATATTTACATTATATATATTATATATCTATATATTATATATTTACATTATATATATTATATATTTATATATTATATATTATATATATTATATATTATATATTATATATTATATATTATATATTATATATATTATTTATATTATATATTATATATAATATATAATATATAATATATATATTATATATTATATATTATATATTATATATAATATATATTATATATACTATATATATATTATATATTATATATTTTATATATATGATATATTTATATATTATATATTTTATATATATGATATATTTATATATTATATATTTTATATATATGATATATTTATATATTATATATTTTATATATATGATATATTTATATATTATATATTTTATATATATGATATATTTATATATTATATATTTTATATATATGATATATTTATATCATATATATATTTATATATGATATATTTATATCATATATATATTTATATATGATATATAAGTATATCATATATAAATATATCATATATAAATATATATTATATATATTTTGTTGTTGTCAGTGGAGACAAAGTTTCGCTGTGTTGCCCAGGCTGGTCTCAAACTCCTGAGTTCAAGCAATCCTCCTGTCTTTGCTTCCCAAAGTGTTGGGATTACAGGCATGAGCCACTGTACTAGGCTACATTTTTTTAAGTCAAAAGAAACAGTTGAAATCAGTTTTAATAATATATTTTATTTAACCCAATATATCAAAATATTATCATTTCGACATATAGGTAATATTAAAAAAATTATCACCGAAATACTTTACCTTCTTTTTCTTGTGCTAAGTGTTTGAAGTCTGGTATTTATTTTACACTTCCAGTACTTCCCAGTGTAGACTGGCTGCATTTCACGTGCTCAGTGTCAACTGCGGCCCTCGGCTACCATGTTTGACTGTGCAAGTCTAGAGGTTAGGAGCACAAACTCTGCAGCCACTTGCTAGCTGTGTGACCTCAGATAAGCTGCTGAATTGCTCTGTGCCTTAGTTTCCCCATCTGTAAAATGGGGCAGGAATAGAAGCCCTACCTTGGAGTTGTTAGGAGAACTATAGAAGCTCCTAAACGTACAGGGCTGAAATAGTGCCTGGCAGGTAGAAAGTGCTAGCTAAATGTTAGCTATTAATAAGAATTATAAAAATAAGAATAATAAATCTCTGAAGGACGAACAGTCCAGGCAGAAACCAGCAGAATGAAGAGCAGGAAGCCAGAGGGGCCTGGGTGGGTGGCGAGGGGGACGGAGGAGGCCAGTGGGGCACCTGATCATCATGTCCAGCCTCCAAGATCGCAGTTTCCTTTTCAGCAACATGCGCAGAGCTCGAGAATATACTCTGGAGAGAGAACTCTAAGGGCCGAGACCTTGACACCTGTTCCCAGGTGAAGGGATGGGGTACGAATCCTGGGCGGAGGGCCCAGTGTACCCCTCCGTCTTCCTCATCTTGCTCTGACTCCAAAACTGTTGCAGCCTCGCGCTCACAGCCGCCTGGGAAGCACAGGGCATCAGCTGGAGGGGGAATATTAATGATTCAATTTTCAACCGGGTTCCACTCCAGGGCCTCGCCTGCGACATGCATTTTTAATCATAACAAAACAGAATGACAAAGGGAGTCATTTGCAGCAAGGCAGCCCCTGCTGGCTGGCCTCCCTAAAGGATCTGATGTGGGGAGGGGTGGCTGGCCCCGAAGACATTAAAGATGTCTCCCCAACTTCAGAGAGTTTGTAGCTGTGGCCCAGCCTCTGACCCTCCTGTGCTGTACAAGCCATTTTCTTTGGGCCGTCTCCTTTCCCAAAGTGGGGCTGCTGGGTTGGGGGAACCAGAAACACTTGGGTGCCATCAGCTAGGGCTGGTAGAAACTGGGGATACCAGAGATCTGACCATCTCCTTAGGGTTTCAGCTGGTCTGCAGCAGGGACAGGGAGCCACGTGGTGATGGGGGCCCTGTGGGTATGGAGGTGACTCCTAGGCCCGAGGTGACTCTTCATTCTCTGAGACTCTATCAGGCATGTGGGTGTATTCCTGAACCAGCCTTCTGGGCCGGCCTCACCTTGGTAGTACCTGGTGATTGGCCAGCCCCTCTCTGATGAAGGGCGCCGTAGTTCCCTATTGGTTCCCCTTAGTTCACCACCACTGGGTCCTGGCCCACCCTGTTTGGCAACTCGCTTTGCACTGAGTCCATTTGGAATGCTCTCCTTCACTGATATCCTTGAATCTCCATTAGCCAATCTCCCAGGCTCTTTTCCGCCAACATTACTCATTGTCTGCACCACTGCCTTGGCACCTCTGCTGCCCTCTGACCAACCCTCTGTTCATCCACCCAATCTCTGAGCCAGTATGTACCCAGTATATACCAGGCACTGTGTCTGGCTGGCTCAGTCTGGTGGGGAAGGCAAACTGGAAGCCACTGTATGGACAGTGGTGTATCAGGGGTCACAGAAGAAGCTGTAGGGGCCAGTACAATTTAATGTACACATGTTATTTATTTAACCAACATTTATAAAGGAGCTACTATGTGCCAGGCACTGGATGCTGTGGTTGCAGTGGTAGCGAAGACAGACATGGTCCCTGCTTTCACAGAGTGTACAGTTAGGTGAAAAGGAAACAAACCAGCAGGTGCTCCATGTTTCTTTTGAGATCCTCCCTTGTGTCTTGTACACAGTGGGTGCTCAATGATTGCTGGTTGGTGGGTTCTAAGTTGGCGAATTCTCTGACTATGCCATTCTCTTCCCGCCCCTCACCATGGCTTTGTGTTTTTGAAGTTGATTCCTAAGTTGGACTTTTACCTGCTGGGCTGTCCCCTGTCCTGATTCTGCAAGCTCTGGTTTCAGGTGTCATAAGTTAATCACACCAACCAGCATTCACTGAATGCTCATGATGCGCCCGGTGCTAAGCACTTTGCTGGCGTAGTTAATATAATCTTATGTAATTGTCACAACAACCCCAGAATAGCTTCTATTATTCAACCTGTTTTAACAAAGGGGAAAATGAGGCACAGGGATGTGAAGTCATTTATCCAAGATTGCACAGCAAATAACGGGCAGAGCTGGGATATAAACCCAAACACTCTGGCCCCAGAGTCTGTGCTGTAAACACGCCGTGTCATCCTGTGGCTTCCTCTTACCATGTGGAAAGCAGGTCAGAAAGATCCCTTTTCACCCAATCTGCAAAATCTCGCTGCCTTTTAGTTGACAGGGAGCCATTGCCAGGTAGGTCCAGGCTGTCCACATCCTCCAGGAATCATGGAATGTCAGTGCTGAGGGTCCTTAGAAGTCCTCTCCTGCACCTCTTTCATGTTTCAGCCAAAGGAACCAAGGCTCAGCGATGACTGGCCCAAGGGCTCAAGACCAAGTCTTGGCTGAGTGGTTCTCCTGGCCCTGTGTGTCCACAGCCCCAGGCTGACTTCCTGAGCATGGTTTTACATGGTTTAATAGAGAGCAGGCAGCAGATGGCTGGTCTTGGATGAAGGGGCAGAAAGGCCCATGACCTTGCCTCTGCACCTGCCCCACTGCAGTCCTTGAAACTAACCAGACCCTGATTCCTGGGCTTTCAGACCCCCTGGTCCCTGACACCCTCTTCATGGCTGGGACCTCCTGCTTCCTTCCTTCTATTGTCTTTCCTGCTGGGGTGACAGAAACCAGCAGTCTGCACTTCTCCCCAGGATCCCCAGGGCAAAAGCAGGAGTGAGAGGAAGCCACTGAAAGCTCAACTGCAGGAGCTGCAGTTCCCTGGGGGCATCTGCCTGGGGGGCGATACCCACTCTTCACTCACTCACGCATTCCAGCAAATGTATTAGCATGTGCTAGGTGCGGGATACATTAGTGAACAAGACAGACAAAAGTCTCTATTTCAGTGTATCTTACATTTATGGGGGTGGGGGATGGAGGAGGCAGACAAAATAGCCAAGATCGTGAACACATTTAGTGTATTAAACAGGCAAGTGCCGTAGAGAACTAGTAAAGGAAGGAAGCCAGGGCGATCTCCACCGCCCTTCACTATCCCTGCAGGAGGTGAGGGAGAGAGCCAGCCCTGTACAATCCCAGAGAAGAGATTCAAGCAGAGGGTACATGTAGCAAGTGCAAAGGCCCTGAGGTAGGAACGGACTAGGGGTGTTCAAGGCACAGCCAGGCCAGTGGCTGGCGTGGCGTGGATGAGGAGAAGCATAGAAGGAGATGCAGAGAGAGTGAATCTAGGCATGGACAACTTGGGATGCTGCTGATTAAAGGTGCCAGTGAGAGACAGAAGTCACTTGCAGTGGCCGAGACTCTCCTGGGGCTGAGGCATCCTGTCCCATGATGTGGGAAGGCAGATCTGACATCTAACTTGGCAGAGGTAGAGGACTTTCCCCTTGGAGCTGCCGTGGGTGTTGCAGGATGCAATAGAGGTGTTAGGTAGGAAGGTAGGAAGCATTCGTGGTGGTAGGTGCTCCTGTTTGTTCAACTCCTGCCTCCAGATCAAGGGAATTTCAGAAAAAGACGGGTCCACTCATACATCGTGACTTCCTCTCACCTTGTATGGTGCTGTAGGTGGAATCCATAGAACCTTCTAGAAAATGAGCAATGGGTAGGTGTGTGTGGGCGGGGGCTGGATGGGGAAGGGCGGGTGCTTGACTGTTCACCTGAAGCTTCATCAGCAAGCTTTCACCTTGGAAATAATCTTTCTCTTTGCTCCAGCAAAGGGCTTCTCAAAACTGTGGTTCCCACAGTTGTCCTAGGAAGGAGGCTTTGGTCGATTACCAACTTTTCTAGGAACTCATGAGATCCTGGTCCTTGTTCTGAGGGGGACTGTGCTGAGAGCACACCCTCTATGAACACTGCCTCCTTTGCCCAATCCTACTCCTACTGCCACGGCCTCAGGTAGGAGTCCCTGACACGGTGTAGGGTTTTGTGTGGACACAAGCTCCGGGGCTGCAGCTGTCTTGCCCGATGGGGCCTGTAGCTTCTGCTTTCCATGCAAGCTTACATCGCCTCCTCCTTCCTTCCTGCAGCCGCCTGTCTCTGATTTAAGGGCAGGTTTTATTCCCGAGCTGCCTCGGGGCCCCTCTTTCTGATTGCATTAAAGTCTCTGCAATTCTCCCCTCATTAATGATTGGCATATTTTTACCTCTCACTAAAGGAGCTTCAAGGCGACTCCCAGGGGGCCCTACTCTCCGAATGAAACAATTTCATCCTGCTCCAGAAACGCATTAAAAAGGGTTTGTCAGGATCTTATCACCAGTTAGAGAAAGCTAATCAAATTACTTCTATTTATTAGCTAGTACAGCAGTATGTCATTCCATCAAGCCCTGGCCCTGGCTCCAGCCCGGGTGGGCATGGAGCGAGCACCCAGGCACCCTGGCTGCTGGAGGGGAGAGTGCCTGAGGGGAGCCTGCTGCCCAGCCTCTCTGCCCCAGCTAGCACCTCCGTGCCAGCCCTGCCAGCCAGGAGAGCCGGGTGAGCTACTGGGGCACCAAAACCATGGACATCTGTTATTCATCAAAGATGGTTCCTCACAGCTGCCTGCATCTTCTCCTTAGCCAGATGGTACATCTCAACTCCAGGCTGCCTGTCCCTGGCAAAGCTGGGTATGAAATTGTGGCATATTTATAGGACACATATTCTCCCCTCCTTTCGAAGAGAGGGGTATAGCTTATTTTGTGTTCCTTTAGGAAATAGGTTTTCTTTTTTTAAAGAATAGAAAATAGCAGGCCAGGTGTGGTGGCTCATGCCTGTAATCCCACCACTTTGGGAGGCCAAGCTGGGTGGATCACTTGAGGTCAGGAGTTTGAGACCAGTCTGGCCAACATGGTGAAACCTGGTCTCTACTAAAAACACACAAAAAATTAGCTGGGTGTGGTGGCCTGTAATCCCAGCTACTCGGGAGACTGAGGCAGGAGAATCTCTTGAACCAGGGAGGTGGAGGTTGCAGTGAGCCAAGATTGTGCCATTGCACTCTAGCCTGGGCAACAAAGCTAGATTCCGTCCCCTTAACCCCCTGAAAAAGAAAAATAGCATGCACCTCAAAGGGACCATGGATAATATGTTGTTACCTGTGTCTCATGTTTTGATAAAAAAATGAACATTTGATTTTTTGTGCCCCATCTTCCAGTTATTTTCTCCTCTTTCCCAGTGATGAGTATCATGAATTTATTATGTATCTTTCTAGGGCCCTAAAAAATCTTTTAAATAATGTGTATATCATATCCAAGAATGGCACACCCTAGTGGGTGCAGCTGCTCTGAGCCTCTGCTGTGTGGCATCACGGAAATCAGCATCGACTCCACTTGAAATCGTCAGGTCCTCCACGCTTACGGTTCTGTGACCTAACCTCCCCATGCCTCAGTTTCTCCATCTCCATAACGGGGATACTACCATCACTTACTTTGTAGGATTTGTTGTGAGGATGAAATAAGATAATGAACGCACTTAACAAAGGGCCAGGCACATGGTCAGTGCCCATGAATGGTAGCCATCGTCATTACCATTGTCTCTACCCCTTCCACCTGCACCTCTTGGGGCCCCATGAGCTTCCGGGCTCCACCTCAGATGTGTGTATTCATACCCACCCAGCTTTAGGCTGCTTATGGACGTGTACTGTACCATGTCCAGACAGGCCCCTGTACAGCTGTGTGGACATGTGCGTGCTCTGCAAGGAGCCCCAGAATCCCACAATTCTCTGGACAGAGAAAGCAGCCTGGGTGAAAGAACAGGCCAGACTCGCCTTGGTCTGGCCTCCTGGAGCCGACCCAGGCTGGGGTAGAAGAGCAGCCCCCCACACTCACAAGCCCGGGGCAGGGGGCTCTCCCAGCTGCCTGGCTGCCTCTATGGCCCCAGGAATGGTTCAAAAGGCTATGCCGCGTGCCCCGTCACATCGCACAAAAGGACATATTGATTGGTTTGTAGAAGCATTTCCTGGGGTGCTTTATATCTCTCTCCCTCGTCACCCATAATGAAGGGGCTGAGTGCACAGAGGAGGGAGAGGCCGGGACACATCCATCCGGGTGGGATTTCTTCATCTTATCAATCAGGACTTTAATTAGACACGTCCGAGAGGGCAGTTCCATCTCGGGGCAGGCGGCAATCTTTATCAAGCATGCCACATCTCTAATTACTGTGTACTGACAGATAACAATTGGGGGGCAGGGTGGGGAGCCCAGGAGGCCGGAAAAGGACAGCAGGGCCCAGAGAGTGGCCATTCACCTAAGCAAAGTGTCCTTCCTAGACAACCTGGAGGGAATCGCTCTAACTCTATGCCCAGGGGCTGGGGATATGGCCTCAGATAACACCCCTCAGAGTGATGACTGGAACGAGGCGCAGAAAGTGGCTGGGTCAGGAGACGGACAGATGTGAGCACCCCTGTGCCCCCGGCCCATGCTCCTGACACACATTTCTTTCTTTTCTTCACATCTGAGTTTTCTTTTTACTCAGAGTTTTTAATGGCATTGTTGAAAGAGCCAGGAAGACCTAGGCTTGAATCCTATGGTTCGGTTCCGTGGCTTCATGTCAGCCAGCTTATGTGACTTTAGACAAGTGACTTAGCCTCTCTGGGCTCGGTTGACTTCACTGCCACATGGAGACGGTTCTACCTCCTGGTAGGATTGCTGTGGCCGGGAACTGAAATGAGGTGTGTGCAGGAATGTGCGTTCTCCCCATCCCCACCTTTCTTCCTTCCTTGTCCATCAGGTGAATGGCTTTATTGAAGGAATGAGGAGCAATTCAGTATCATCAAAGGCTAAATACAAAGTCTGTGCCTTTCTGGTGTGAATTTCCTGCTTAGCTGTGTTGACAAACCATGAGGGAGGACAAATCTGGACTTTGTAGACAAGGCACAATGCAGCAGGTTGGCAAACTCTGTCATGGGTGAGGGGCTCTGGCTTGGAGGTGATGGAAGAGGAATATGCTTCTGCAGTGGAGCTGAACTGCAATGTCTGCTCTCTCTGTTATGAACTGAGTGAGCTCGATCATTGGTTCTCTCTGAGCCTCAGTTTCCTCATGAGCAGAATAGATGTAATCATCCCTCCTCCCAGGGTTGGAGAAGGGGCATGTGAAGTACCGAGACTCAGCCTGCCCCTGCACCCAAGTAGCTGCCCAGAAGGTGGGTCGAGACAGGGTTTCCCCAAGCCCCCTCTAATCTGTGTGCTCCAGCCTCCTGCAAATGGGATTTTCTCTTGCTCCTTCCTGTCTTCATGGACTGAGTCTCCTCCCTCTGGGCTCCCTTCTCCCCTCTCCTAGGTCCTGGCGTTTCTCAGAAGAGAAGCCTGCACAGTCTTCGCTGAGTGCCCAGCCACGTTGCCCAGACAGCCCCCAGCTCTCCCTCAGCTGGTTCTCGGCCTGGGGGCCTTATGTCCTGCTGTCCTCGTCCCCTCCCCAGCCACCACATTGTGACCACTTTCAGAGATACCTCAACATTCACACCTCACTGGCGGGGGCTTCAGCAAACAGTTCATGTACTCCCCTCCCTGTGGCCTCCTGGAAGCCCTCAGGTTTCACCCGGCTCTCCTGCCTCCCTCAGAACTCTTGTCCCCAGGCCCTGCGGGCTGACATTTCTCTTGAGACTTGGCCTGAAAGCCTTTAGTGCTCCTGGCCTCCAGGGTCTCAGGCCAAGTTTCCTAGGGAAGATGGGCCATGAGGTCTCCAGGGAATAGAGTGGGGAAACAAAAGTATGTGCTGTTCTTGATGATCATTAAATTGATCAAGGCAGTCTTGCTAGTTGGATAGCTCAATCCCTGCTCAGAGAAGTTAGCAAATTAATAAGCCCACCCACTGTCTCTGGGAGCCAGAATTTGACCCTAGCTTTGGTGTCCAGTTGGTATTCTTTAAACTACCTGGAGGGAAGTGAGTAAGGCTGGGCACTGGAGGCATGAGAATACCTGAGGATGCATCTGGATAAGAATTCTCACATAAAGCTTTGGCAAATTCATGCTTGTCCTTCTCCAGGCTGGCAGCGTAAAACCTGCTGGAGAATGGTGAGGAGTTGGAGGTGGTACTCTGGCAAGAGTCCACATGTCCCTGAGATTGCCCAGTGAGGCCATGGCCTGGAGTTGGGCTGATGGGGACCCCAGGGAGGAACTTCAGAATGCTAGGCAGGTTGGGACATGGGAGGGCAGGTGGTGGCAGCAGTGATGCGGGTATACAGAGAAGGATAAGGTGAAGTCTCACCTCAAAGACATCAGAGCGTATTTGGGGCAACGGGGCTAACACACAGGCCCTATTAGAGAATAACAAAGGGCCCCACTGGGTGGCATTGTGAGAGTTCCCAGGAAGGAGTCAGCACAATGGTCCTGAGTGGCAGGAGGCTTTCCCAGGGGTGAGCAGCCTTCTCCCTCTGGCTCTCTAAATCAGACACACCTTTCAGAAGAGGTGGCATTCTGGCAGGAAAGAAGGAACAGCATGGGCAAAAGTGAGGGGCAACAGGGAACTTGGTGAGAGCCCTAAGCAAGCCTGTAGGCAAAGCCCACTGAGCCCTCAGACCACTCCAAGACCAGGGAAATATTGCTGATTACAGTAAGGGCATTCTTCCACCTGACACCTGTCATGATGCTGATGCTGGTGCTCCCACTTGCAGCTGCTGTGGTCATCTCCACTCGTTCAGGTGAGGAGCCTGAAGCTCAGACAGGCAAAGAGAGGAACGGGCGTGGCTGTCTGCTTAAGGTTATAGGCTATGGAGCCAAAGACTTCTGGTTTGAATTTGGTCCGCATGAGCTTTGATTTCCCCATCTGTAAAGTGGGAATAGTAAGGTCCATGCCACAGGGTTGTTGGATGTTGACCACTTAGCACATCTCCTGGCATGATTCCTTATAGGAACTTGACAAATAATAACTGACTTTTTTGTTTGTTTAGAAAATTCTTGTTGAGCATCTACTCCATGCCAGGCATTGTGACAGGTCCTGGGATCACAGCAGTGAACTTGACAGCCACGTTCCTGCTTTCAAGCCTTTTATGTTCCAGTAGAAAAATGGGCAGGGATCGAGTAAGCAAAGAATGAGATCATTACAAATTAGACTAAACTGCAGTGAAGGAAATGAACAAGGTGATGGAGTGGACAGGGGAGATGAAGGGATCCAGAAGATCCCCTAGACAGGGCATTCAGGGAGGGCCTCTCAGAACTTCTGACCTCAGGCCTGAGAAGTGAGGAAGATTCAGTCATTGCCAAGAGCAGCCCAGGCAGAAGGAACAGTGGATACAAAAGTCCGGGTCTTCAGAATGTTAGAGGAACAGAGATGAACTGAGCCAAGTGAGAGGGAGGGTGGTCCAAGAAGTTGTTGGAGAGACAGATTAAGCAGGGCCTTGTACATCCTGGCAAGGAGTTGGTGGTTTATTCTAGGTATGGCATAAAGTCATGGGATGGTTTTAAGTAGGGGAGTGATGGCATGATGCCAATCAGTGTTTGAGAACATGGACTCTGAAGTCAGACTGTTTGGATTCGAATCCAACAAGTGTAACCACCTCCCTCAAACTTAGTGTCTTAAAATATCAACAATCCTTTCTTTTGCTAACAAATCTGAAATGTGGGCAGGGCTTGGGGAGAGTGACTTGTCACCACACCTTGCAGTATCAAGCTGGGGTGGCTCAGCTGGAGCTGGAGGTGATGCCCACTCACATGTGTAGCAGGTGGTGCTGGTTGTTGACTGGGAGCTCAGTCGAGGGGACTGTCAGCCAGGGGCCTCAGTTCTTCTCCACGTGGGCCCCTCCACGGGGCTGCTTGGGCTTCCTCATAGCATGGTGATTAGGTTCCAAGAGCAAATGTTCCAAGCTGCATGGCTTCTTCTGACCTAGCCTTGGAAATTATGCATCATCGTTTCCACTTCATTCTGTTGATTAAGCTAGTTACTAGGGCCAGCCCAAATTCAAGGGGACAGAAATAAAATCATTAATTTGTAGGAGGAGGAGTAAAGAATTTTCAGCCATGAACTACAGAAATTTAGAGAGGTAGGCTAGATCAGAGACAAATCAGGCAAACCCTTGTAGGTAATGGTAAGACATTTTAATTTAAGTGTAATGTGAAGTCACTGGATGATTTTAGGTAGGGAGTGATGTCAAATATAGTGGGAGATAGACTGAATATGAGGATTAGACTGCCTGGATTTGAATGGTGCCTGCGGCAATAATTATTAGCTTCAGAAATATTTCATTACTTCTCTGGGCTCAGTTTTCTCATCTGTAAAATGAGATCAGTAACAGTACTAACCTCAGAGGGTGATTGTGAGGATGGAATAAATTTAATTCTGTAAAAGACTTAGAATAATGCCTGGCATGTGTTATGTGCTCAAAATATTCACTATTGTTATTAGTGTTGTGCTTTTATTTATTTTTAATTATTTTATTTTTCCACAAGTTACGGGGGTACAGGTGGTATTTGGTTACATGAATAAATTCTTTAGTGGTGATTTGTGAGATCCTGGTGCACCCATCACTCAAGCAGTACACACTGCACCATATTTGTTGTCTTTTACCCCTTGCCCCCCTCCCACTCTTCCCCACAAGCCCCCAAACTCCATTGTATCATTCTTATGCCTTTGCATCCTCATAGCTTAGATCCCACATATCAGTGAGAACATATGATGTTTGGTTTTCCATTCCTGAGTTACTTCGCTTGGAATAATAGTCTCCAGGCTGGGCGTGGTGGCTCATGCCTGCAATCCCAGCACTTTGGGAGGCTGAGACAGGTGGATCACCTGAGGTCAGGAGTTCAAGACCAGCCTGGCCAACATGGCAAAACCCTGTCTCTACTAAAAATTCAAAAAATTAGCCAGGCATGGTGGTGGGCACCTGTAGTCCCACTTACTTGGGAAGCTGAGGCAGGAGAATGGTGTGAACCTAGGAGGCGGAAGTTGCAGTGAGCTGAGACGGTGCCACTGCACTCCAGCCTGGGTGACAGAGACTCCATCTCAAAAAAAAAAAAAAAGAATAATAGTGTCCAATCTCATCCAGGTCACTGCAAATGATGTTAATTCATTCCTTTTTATGGCTGAGTAGTATTCCATCATATATATACTACAGTTCCTTTATCTACTCGTTGATTGATGGGCATTTGGGTTGGTTCCATGATTTTGCTATTGTGCTACTATAAACATGAATGTGCAAGTATCTTTTTCAAATAATGACTTCTAAGACTTGAAACTATAAAAATTCTAGCGGATACTTTGGAAAAACCCTTCTAGACATTCGCTTAGGTAAAGATTTCATGACGAAAAACCCAAAAGCAAATGCAATAGAAACAAAGATAAATAGCTGGGACCTAACTAAACTAAAGAGCTTTTGCACAGTAAAAGGAACAGTCAGCAGAGTAAACAGACAACCCACAGAGTGGGAGAAAATCTTCACAATCTATTCATCTGACAAAGGACTAATATCCAGAATCTACAACGAACTCAAACAAACCAGTAAGAAAAAAACAAACAATCCCATCAAAAAAGTGGGCTAAGGACATGAATAGACAATTCTCAAAAGAAGATACACAAATGGCCAACAAACATGAAAAAATGCTCAACATCACTAAAGATCAGGGAAATGCAAATCAAAACCACAATGCGATACTATACCTTACTCCTGCAAGAATGGCCGTAATCAAAAAATCAAAAAACAGTAGATGTTGGCATGGATGCTGTGATCAGGAACACTTCCACACTGCTGGTGGGAATGTACACTAGTACAGCCACTATGGAAAACAGTGTGGAGATTCGTGAAAGAACTAAAAGTAGAACCACCAATTTGATCCAGCAGTCCCACTACTGGGTATCCACCCAGAGGAAAAGTGTTGTGCTTTTCAACACTTGCCCTGGCTGCTCTGTAGAGGAGGAGTTGCAGAGTAGCTTGAATAAGATCAGAGAGACCCAATTAATAAAGCCAAGACTTGAATTCAGACCTTCCGGGCTCTGTCTCACGTTTGTTTTTTAGGTAGGTACTGTGTGCCAGGCTGTGTGTCTTGCTTTCCCAGGGCTGCTGTCACAAATTGCCACACACCAGGTAGCTTCAAACAACAGAAATGGATTCTTTTGCAGTTCTGGAGGCCAGAAGTCCAAAATCAAGGTGCTGGCAGGGCCATTTGAGGAAGGATCTGTCCATGCCTCTCTCCTGGTATCCGGTGGTTGCCGGAAACGCTTGGTGTTTCTTGGCCTGTAGACATATCATTAGGGCCCGCTTTAATCTCACATGACCTCATCTTGATTACACAGGCAAAGATCCTATTTGTAAATAAGCCCGCATTCACAGAGTGGACATGGATTTTGAGGATATACTATTCAACCCAGTACATGGTCAGGGCTAAAAAGATGGAATCCATGCAGATCCTGCCCTTAAGGTGAAGGAAAGCTGCTCCTCCAACTTCTGTAATACTTGGTGGGGAACTGCTATGTGTCCTAAGTGGGAATGCTAACCCCTCTGATCGGCTGAGACGCCTACAGCCCAGCCTTCTCTAAATCCCCAAAGGCCAGACCCTGAAATGACTTCCACCCGGGGCACCCATCCCTGGCTCACCCAGGGCAACACCCTTAGTGTCCTGGGTTTGAAAGCAGGAGGCAGAGAGCATAGGGGTCTGCAGGTTGCTTTTGTCTGCTGGAGGGACTCCCCTGGGGCTAGGCCTCAAGACACCATGGGGGCTTGGTGCTGGGTGAGCTGACCTGAGCCTGGATTTCTGGCTGGGAGTGCCAGCCTCCATGCCCCTCCTTCCCATCCCTCAGGCAGCCCGGCTGTGCCCAGGCACCTCAACTGGGAGCTGCTTCTGGGGGCTGCTCCCCCACATGCCCAGACCACGGGAGCATCTGCCCCAGCTGCTCCAGACAGGCCATCCCCAGCCAAGCCAAGCCAGAGTCCTGCAAGGTCTGAGAGGTGTGCCCAGGATCCACCAGGATTCTGTAATTGGACTGCTGTTCTTTCATTTTGCCACGCCGTAGTCTGTGGATTATAGACACCACATGCTATAGATTTCCTGTCAGAGCTCATGAATCAAGCCCCACTGTCTTATTTACTGTCGGCCAGCAGCTGTGAATAACATCACCCCCAACACACATGCTCACAGGCACGTGCTTATGCAAACACTGCCCGCAGAGCCAGGCCAAGGCTGGGACCCAGATGCCACTATGGGGGCTGTAGCAGGAAGTGAGGTTTCTCTGACACCTTTGTCCCTTACCCTGGCCTCTTGGAAACAAGCAGTCTCCCTATATCACCCTGTAGGGAGACTGATGCCTTCAGATGTCATCTTTCCTCATCCACCTCAGGGTTACTGTCTGTGGGCTGAAGGAGGAGTCCAGACCCTAGACTAGGCTGTGAGCTATCAGCCTATGCCTATGTATGTGGGTAGTGGGAAAAGATTACTATTGTGCATGGACTCTGGAGGCAGAGAGATGTGGTTCAAATCCCAGCCAGGTCTCTTAGTACTTATGCAATCCTGAGCTGGTTACATGTTCCCTGAGTCTTAGTTTCCGCACCAATAAAATGGGGACAGTATTTGCTCATGAAGTGTGTGTGTGTGTGTGTGTCACACACACACACCGAGAAAACTAAATGAGAATTAAATGGGTAACACTTAGCACAGAATGGGGGGCCCAATACTCTAAGCTACTATTATGGACGCTAAAGCCAGTGCCTGCAACAGTGCATGTCATAGACACTGAAATAGCTCACTTAATCTGCCCAACAACTCTTCCAGGTAGGTATCTCTTCATTTTGCATATAAAGAACCCAAAGCTCAGAGGGGTTAAGTAATTTGTCCAAAGTTGTACAGCTAGTAAGTGATGGAGCCTGGACTCCAATCCAGTTCTGCCTGACCCCAAGGTCCAGAGCATCTCTATTACACTCACCTTGAGGTCAAGGACTCTGAGCAAACAGTTCAGGAGACTCCTCACCCCACTGAGTCACCAACCAGTCAGATCACCAATGGGCAGCAGCCACTTCCTTTCTCCTACCTGAGGGCACAGACCATGTGTGTCTAATTCACTGTTCTTTCTATATGTGACAAATGGTCAGGAAATACTTGGATGGATAGGTGGATGCTGGATAGATGGCTGTGTCCCTACAGATGTCATAAGAATGACATCTGAGTATGTTTTAAACTAAATACCTACCACACTTCCCAATGAATTTCTTTTGTTCAGTATCCTTCATTAAGTTGGTGCAAAAGTAATTGTGAGTTTTGCCATTACTTTCAATGGCAAAAACCTCAATAACTTTTGCACCAACCTAATAATTATTAGCCACTTCAAGGTGGCACAAACCTGGTAAAATCATCATTAAAATGCAAATTCCTTCACTTCAATTTAAAGAGAGATGTCAGATGTCCACAAAGGAAACACTGATAACCTTTCCCCCAGGCTCAGCACCAGACCCAGCCCTGTGGTGGGTGTCTGGGGCTTGAGACTGTTAGTTTCCATAGACTTGCAAGAGGCTGTACTTACAGGACAACAGGAGGTTTTCCAACGTGAATATTGTTTCCGTCATACCCACACAGGCTGGTTTCTTAGTATTCTTTCCTTGTGTCTAAAATGTAAGTCAGGAAAGAGGACCAGACTTCAATTTTTCTGGGCTGTCCTCCTGCTCACCTGTGCAAGACCTCAGAATCATCCTTAGCCAACTGAATTCTTAAAGCCAGTGCAGTTCCTGAGAAAACAGGTCACTCAGTCTCTCCAAGCCTCAATTTCCTAGTCCATAAAATGGGACTGAGAATACCTGTCTCACAGGGATGCTATAGAGCTTAGAGTCTTTGATTCTTCTTCTCAAATCTAGGCTGAGGGATCATATTTTATTTATTTCCTTTGTGTCTGGGCAAGTGCATAGACTGTGTTAAATAAATATGGGTGATTGCGGGGTTTTGGGGTGCCACCCGGGGCTTTGGGGACACTGCGCATAGTTACTGATATACCCCGTGTTGATGCAGGTGTTAAGTCCCCTTTTGCCTAGGAAGGTGGGTGCATCCTCTTTCTCCCCCCAAGAACAGAAACTTCCACGGAGTAATAAGGCCTGTAGGGCATATAGCATTTGAATGAGACACACCTACCCTGTGGGATGCCACTAACTTCAAGGCCTGCTCGTGAGTCATCTCCAAGCAGGCCCCCCTTCCCACTCCCCCAGAAAAGCTTTCACTAGCTTGTTCTGTGCCCAGAGGAAATGCTTCATCCTCAAATGTAATTGTGTCTGAGGAGGTGTCCTCTGTGACCAGGGGGGTCACAGAGCCAATGAGTGAGTCAGCGCATCCGGACAGAGTTAATTAAAGCAGCGAGGGCTGGCGGGGCAGCTGGAGTCCGGAGTGGCTGAGCTGCTATGGCGGGAGACAGCTCCCATCAGGAATGGGGCCCAGTGCATGCCAGGGCTCCCTCTGTGGTCTCCTGGGCTCCAAAGGGTGCAAAGCGGGGATCACGAAAGGAGGCAACAAAGGGAAAGGCAAGATCTCAGTGGCTCACACCTAACTCAATCTACATTCTGTACGCAATATCCACAAATAATCAAGAGTTTCCTGCAACATCTCTGTGTCCAGAGGGATGCACTGGTCTGGGAAGGGAGGGGTAATTCTTTTAGACTGTCCTTAACCCAAGAAGGTGTGGCCTCCTGCGAGATGCTCAAGATCTCCAGGGTCTAGAATGGTGCCTGGCACATCCTAGGCACTTAATGGACAGCTCTAGAATGAATGAATGAATGAGATTTGGACTCTCTAGTTGGGGTTTATCTGAACTACCAATAGCCTAGTGGGTGGTAAGAGAAGGATGAGAAAAAGGAAAGCAGAGAGCATCCTCGTCCACTAGAACGTAAATTCCGTAGAGGCAGGTCATTTTGTCTGGTTTTTCCCTGCTGGGTCCCCAGCACCTGGAACAGTGCCTGACTCTGAGTGCGTGCTCATTAAAGATTTGTTTAGTGATGAATGAATAGAGAAGGGAAAAAGGGAAGGAAAGACTCAGGAAAAGGAAAGAGCCTTTGCAGCTAGGAAAATACTGCTGCACTACTGGGGAAGTAGGGTCCATGTGCCTGGGGTGGGTCTAATGAAAACCAGGCTTACATTCAGTAAGATTCATCAGGCTTACTATTCTCTCTGCCACCTCACACTCCTTTTCTTGGGTACCTGTTCCTGTGGGAGACAAGTATTCTTTTAGTGAGTGATACTGGAGCGTTCTTTTCTTCCTCTACTCCCTTGCTGCCACCCACCAACCTGCCCCAACTTCTGAAATTCCCATCCTGGGGGAGGTTCCCATGAAGGGCTCCTCTACACCTACATGGAGCAACTGCCCTGAATCTCTGCTCCTCTCCCTCCCACATAAGCTGGGCTGGACAATCCAGAAGGAACCTCTACTTCTCACTAAAGCATGTCCGCCCTCAAGCCAGCCAGGGGTGTGGGTAGGGCGGACCATGTGCCTAGCTTCCTTTGATCATAGAAAACACTGTGCTGGACACAGAACAATTCAAAACAGCCCTTGCCCTCGAGAAGTTTGCTACCTTCCTAGAGAGACAGGACATATGCCTGCGAATGTTTGTACATCCAGAAAAATGTCAGCAAGCTGAAGGGGTTTGAGAAACACTTGCATGGCTGCCCAGGAGACTCAAAGTGACTGTTGCCAGGGCCCCAACCTACCAGGACGGCAGAAGCCACTAGTGTCTGTAACTTCACAATGAGGGACTGAGTCACTCCCCAGTTTTCAGATTTGGCACTTTGTTTATTTTCAAACCAGAATATCCTAAGCCAAGCAAATCAATATTCTGTCTCCCAGAGCCTGAAGCCCTCTGATGAGCCAGGTACAATGACAGCTGTATCGAGGCACTTTAGGGGGTGATTGTTGAGGGAGAGAGACCGGGTCAGGCATGACTCCCCACAAGGCTGATGGCCTCTACCTGATGCCACCATGGACCACCTGGACACAGCTTGATGGACTAGCAGGACGCAGCTTCTCCCTCTGCCCTGTCCTTCGGCAGGAATCAACAGGCAGTACATCAGTGACATGAGGCTTTGGCAGTGCTGAGTGAGGCTGGCAGGTGAGGTACAGGGGCCCTGGGCACACCTGCCTGCTGTCTGCCTTGCCTCTGCCAGATGAATACACCTTTGTCATCTTGACTGGTAACCATGGGTCTATTCAGTCAGGTAGAGGATGGTGATGCTGAGACCACAGGTTGGGGGTAGATGTCATTGAGGCCGGTGAGCTTTGCACCTGTGCATCACCTCAGTATTCCCCCAACCCTGGCCACTGTGGGGCTGGAGTGAGAAAAAGAACCTGGATGAGGGAGCACACCATCCCCATGAATGGAAAAGAATTAAAGTTAATATCATTAGAGTGGTTTCCTAGGGCAGCTATACCAAAGTACCACACACTGAGTGGCTTAAAAATAAATAAATGTATTGTCTCACTGTTCTGAAGGTTAGAAGTCCAAGATCAAGGTATGGGCAGTGCCATGCCCCCTATAAAACCCTGGGGAGGATTCTTCCTACGTCTTCCTCACTTATGGTGGTTGCTGGCAGTCACTGGTGTTCCTGGCTTGGAGCTGCAGCACTTCAGTCTCCTCTGTTGTAACATGTCTGTGTCATCCCCATGTCTTCTCCTCTTCTTATAGGGCCACTGGTTGCATTGGGTTAGGGCTTGCCCTGCTCCAGTATGGCCTCATCTTAACTTGACATCTGCAATGACCATATTTCTAAATAAGGTCACATTCTCAGGTACTGGGGGTGAGGACTTCAGCATATCTTTTCGAGGGATGCAATTCAACCCATAACAGCCATCAGTATACCACCTTCTGGGTGAAGGTGAAGGAATATTATCTCATGTATGCCACCATATGCAAAAAGCTTGTTTTCCTTTCTGTTCAGAGCATATGACCTCTTCTCACCTCTTCTCATAAACCAACAAGAAACAAGGACTGGGTGAATGTCAGTGGGGGACTCTCTATAGCTGATGAAGAGTATAAACTTCACTGGGTGCAGTGGTTCATGCCTGTAGTCACAGCTACTTGGGTGGCTGAGGCGGGAGGATCACTGGGGCCCAGGAGTTCAAGGCTGCAGGGAACTATGATGGCACTACTGCACTCGAGCCTGGGAGACAGAGTGAGACCCAGTCTCTTAAAAAAAAAAAAAAAAAAAAAAAGCAAACTCCAAGAAAGCAAGTGAACAGGTTTTTAAGTGTCCTGTTCGCTGTTGAGTCAGTGCCTGGCACAGAGTAGATTTGTTGAATGAATGGATAAGTGAATATGGTGGTTGGAGCTCCACAGGCTGGAGTGAACTGTGTGACTCAGGAAAACCACTTACCCTCCTTTACCCGCCTGACTTTTTTCGTGTGTAAAATGAGAATCAGAACAAGTACACGTAATTTACACATCATTGGGAGCATTGCATAAGAACCTATGTAAATGCCTTAACTCAGTTCCCAGCATGCAGTAAGTGTTCAGTACATGTTAATTAAATCAGAACCTGTTGGCGGCCACTGAGCAGTCTTTGAGGTTTGGGGCAGCTGCAGTAGTGATGCCAGCCTAGCAAGCGGGAACGTATCTACTCAACTCTTCTGCAGGAAAGGGTTGAGCTACCTTAACCAGGGAGCTGCTAGTGAGAAAGTGATCAAGCCTCAAGCGGACCTGGGAGACTAGATTACTAGAGAAGTATTATTACAGGGCACCGGTTGGGGGCACAGGCCCTGGAGCCAGACCCTGGGCCTTCAAATCCCAGGTTTAGCCCCAGCCAGGTGTGGGACCTCTGGCGCAGGGAAGCTCAAGTTTCTCTGACTATAAAGTGGAGACAATAATAACATCTGGCTTTCTGGTGAGGATTGGATAACAGTGCCTGGCACATGGTGAGTATTGTGTAAGTTTGATATTACTAGTGTAACTTTTCTATGTCCTCGGCCCCGGTTGCTCTGAGCTAGCTGATTGGAAAGCCCTAACCCTCGAACTCCGGGCTTTCTGGGAACGCGGGCTCTCTCCCCTCTTTCCCTCCGCCCCCACGCGCACACAGGCGAGCACCGTCCGCCCTTCCTAGTTCCCACCGCGCGCCCCTCGCTGAGCGCTCCGCACACTCTGAGATCCAGCGCGCCCTCTGGTGGCACACGGCCCCGAATCGCCGCGCTCCTGCGGGCCGCGCGCAGGGTCGCCGGGTAGGCACAGGCACGTCCCGTGGCCACGGACCTTTGCCCTCTGAGGCACCCTAGACCTTGGCTTTCTCTCTCTCCATTGCTCTTGTGAGAAAAGCTGCCTCGCTCTGCGGCCTCTCTCACGAGCGTGCCATTGTCCCGGAGAGTCCGGGAGTTGAAACAGCCCCTGGATAGAGCTGGGGAGAGGGCAGCACCCCCTTATCTTGGTGAGGTTTCAGGGCTTGCCCTCCTGGTTCTAACCTCAAAGGAGGGAGTTTAGCTAGGAGACAGCTGTTTTTACAGTCCCCAACCCCACCACTTTTTTCTCTGATGTGCTGTTGAAACCGATGGGCAGCTGAAAGGCCCTCATCTCTGCAAATCCGCCTGACTTAAGGTTCACCCTGTATGTCTTGGGTTCGCCAGCCATTACCATCCCCTAAGACTCGGGGATTACAGTTCCCGCCCTGCCTGCCTCTGTGTGGGTTTATTTAGGCCTTCCAGCCCCATCACTTCATCATCATCATCATTTATGAACCGCTAAGCATGTGCCAGGCACTGTTCTAAGTGCTTTGTGCATATAACTCATTTTATCTGGACAAGAGAAGAAACTATAAGTACAGGAGAGCCTATGAGGAAACTGAGGCACAGAGCGATTAGTGACTTGTCCAAGATCACAGATTGTAAGGGCTGGGTGTGGTGGCTCATGCCTGTAATCCCAGCACTTCAGGAGGCCAAGGCAGGAGGATCGCTTGAGCCCAGGGGTTTGAGACCAGCCTGGGCAACATAGTGAGACGCTATGTCTCACTATGTTAGTTACAAAAAAATTAAAAATTATCCAGATGTGGTGGTGTGTACTTGTGGTCCAGCTACTCAGGAGGCTGAACCCGGAGGATCACGAGCCCAGGAAGCTGAGGCTGCAGTCAGCTATGGTGGAGCCATGGAACTCCAGCCTGGGCAACAGAGCGAGACCCTGTCTCAAAATAAAAATAAAGAAAAGAAAAGAAAACTAAAAGGTCACACATTGCAGGGGTTTGAACCCTAGCAGCCTGACTCCAAGCCTATGTCAGCCCCGCTGGGTCCTGCTGCCTCCCTGCTGAGCTTTGTGTGGCTGGTCCTGCTCCCTTGCTTTGCATCCACATACCCTGACCTCTCCATCTGGAATGCCCTTCCTCACCCCCGGGAAATCTGCTTGGCCAACTCCTCTGTGAGCCCTTCCTTGGCCCCCAGGGTCCTCTACCCGCCCCCCCCCCCACCCACACTTCCACCCTCACCTCTCCATGTGCCTGTCATTAGTGTTACTTGCTTGCCCCTACCACTGGGCTGTGGGGCTGCTGACAGCAGAGGCTGTTTTCTGTTCATATTTGCTCTCTCCACTGCCTAGTACGATGCCAGGGACATGGCAAGTGCTCCTGCGATGAAGCCAGGCTCACATAGCAGCAGCCTTTTTCCAGGGACCTATCTCACCATTGCACTCTGAAGGGGGAGGACAAGTGCATTAGTCCCATTTTACAGATGTAAAGGCTGAGGTCCCGGGGGTGAGGGATTCATCCAACATTGTGACCCAAATGGGAGACACTCTTACCACAGTCCCTTGTTCTGTGCTCAGTGTCTTAGGCCAAAGGCTTCTGAGGGACCAGAATAAGGTGAGGGGCTGACCCACAAGAACCCATGGGGTCTCGGGGGTGGAAGAGTGTGCCTCATTTGTGTAGGTAGGTCCTGGGCTTTTTTTTTTTTTTTTTCTTTGAAATGAGTTTTGCTCTTGTTGCCCAGGCTGGAGTGCAATGGCTCGATCTCAGCTCACTGCAACCTCCACCACCTGGGTTCAAGAGATTCTCCTGCCTCAGCCTCCTGAGTAGCTGGAATTATAGGCATCCACCACCACGCCCGGCTAATTTTTTGTATTTTTAGTAGAGATGAACGTTCACCATGTTGGCCAGGCTGGTCTCGAACTCCTGACCTCAGGTGATCCACCCACCTCAGCCTCCCAGATTGCTGGGATTACAGGCATGAGCCACCATGCCCGGCCGGTCCTGGGCTTTATCTGCACGGGCCAAGGAGGAGAGAATTTGAAATCCGTGTTTGTTTTATTCTCTAGGGTCTCCCCTGGAAAGATGTCACCCTTTGGGTATACCTTCCTCCTCGGATGGGTCTTTTCCAGGCAGCCTTCCTTGCAGTCTGAAGCCGGGGCCAGGTGGCCAGAGGCGGTAGAGACCCAAGTAGGGCTCAGAGAAGTTAAGGACAAAGATAGGGACAGCTACCAGGGCTGGGGATGCTGCTCTATAGGGCAGCTTGGGACCCGAAATACTGAGTTTGTGTGTGTTAAGGACCCTGGCAGACTTTTACCACGCCCTTCTCCCTTTCACCACTCATGTTTCCCTCACTCCCCATTGCCCATCCACATGGTTCCCAACTTTCAAGACTCAGCCCAAGCCTCACCACTCCCTCTTGGGCCCAAGTCACTTGTTTCGTCTGCCACGTCCCCACAGTACTCCATCCAAGCCATGTCACTGAGCACTCTAGCTTGTATCAATGTGGATCATTTGCAAGACTTTCCCAGGCCAGTCATTTCTCCTGCTCTAATGGACACCACTTAAAAAGAAAAATCAGATATTCTGTCCTGTCTGGGTCCCCCTCACTGGACAGTACAATGCTGGGCAGTAATAAATGCTCAAGGGTGGCCAAGCTGCCTAACTTCTCTGAGCCTCAGTTTTCTTCTCTGTAAAGTGGGGATAATATATGTATATGTGAGACTGTATACATCAGAGCACCCAGCACAGGGTCCAACACATAGGAGGGAATCATTCGATGTTAGTTCCCCATCTTCCTCATCAACACTTTCCTGCTGCACCCTCAGCCTCCTGCTCCAATCAGAAAATGAGGCATGGTGAATAGTATTCTCTCTCACCCCACCCTGGCCCCAGGTGTCTGGTGTGCAGAGGATCAGATGACCCTCTTCCGCAATCTCTTCCCCCCAACCTTGAGGGGCTGCAGGGGACTCTCTGGGCTCCAGCCAAGTGGAGGTTGGAACTTGCTTCTTCCTTGCAATGCCCAGAGGGAGCCATGGGGAGCTGGAGGTAGAAGTTGAAGGAATGGCTGTCATTGACATGACCTGCTCCACAGCCCTTTCTCATCATCACCACAAATGGATCGGTGAATGAATGGGTGGAAGAGTCAGAGAAGGGGCTAGGGTTTCTCTCTGGGCATTTTCTGGGTTCATGAGTGATGGTGCAGAGAGCACAGGCTGACCCTCCTTACCCTTTCTCTGCCTGGCTGTGTCTACAGCAAAGCATTGACTCCTACATTGTGGTGCAGGGAGGAGCAGGTTTATGGGATGTGCTTGTCTAAGTGTTTTCTCCTATGAACCCATTTAATCTCACAATCACTCTAGGAGGCTGGTACTCTCTCTCTCCCATTTTACAGATAAGGAGACTGCGACAGAGACTTGCTCAGATTATACGACTACCCCAGAGACTCTAGCCCCAAAGCCTGTGCTCTATGTTATCCTGACTCTAGGATGACAGAACGAACATTGTCATTGAAACCCACAGTCTGATTCCTTCTAGCCCCAGCCTGCCCTTCTGGCCCATGGCCATGTGGCCCCACCAACCTCACGTGACCCCACTGACCTCACATGGCCCCATGTGTGCACCCTCTTTTTAGACCTCCCCACTCTGTGCTAACTCCAGACTCATCCTATCCTCTTGGTGCTGCCTGCCTTTCAAGGGGAGGGGGCAGGTCCCTTAGGAAATGGAGAACAAGCAATGCATGAATAAATAATCACTCCTGTCCAGCCCCATCAGCGCATGGTCCTGCAATTGTTCTGCGAGGCTGGATTCTCCTGTGGGTTTTAACTCACTCTTATTCTCTTGTCCAACTTTATGCTCCCTCACTGTCTGTCCCCCATGATTTCCATCTCTCCTGAGGAGGGAAAGGGGCCTTGTTGGGCCTTTGATGGCCACTAGGAGCTCCTCTGAGGATCCTCAGGGAAGGTTGACTCTCTCCCTGAACCCCCTCTCCTCCACATGCACCCCCTGGGGGAGGGTGTGGGCTCCTGCTGGTGCCCCTGCCAAGCTATAGCCCAGCTAATGGAGGATAATCTACTAGTATCCGCCACTCCTCCCCAATGAGGGATAATCTACTAGCATCCACCACTCCTGCCCAGTGCCACCAGAAGTATTTTTCTGGGTTCACGGGGCATGAGAGAGAAGAATCTATATCCAGAAATTTTAAGGTGCAAGGAGGAGCTCAGAAATGCACAAAAGTATTACCCAAGATGGGATTCACATTTTTTACAAACAGTGCAAATAATAAAGAGCCCTAATAAAACATTCAGAGCCTTTGACTTAGTCATTTCTCCTCGGACAGCTGATTCTAAGGAAATAATTCCAGAGAAGAAAAAGGATGCATGAGACATGAGGAGGTTCATTGCAGAATAGAAGCAGCCTACATATGGGGGAATGATGGTTAATTGACACTTTGATATGATGGTACAATGTGGGGTCATTTTCTTTCTTTTATGTATGTATATAAGTGTTTATTTATTTATAGAGATGGGGGTCTCGCTCCCTGCCTAGACTGGAGAGCAGAGGCATGATCACAGCTCACTGTAGCCTTGATCTCCTGGACTCAAATGATTCTTCTGCCTCAGTCTTCCAAGTAGCTGGTACTATGGCATGCACCACCATGCTTGGCTAAATTTTACAAACATCTTTTAGAGCTGGGGATCTTGCTACATTGCCCAGGTCGGTCTCAAATGCCTGGTCTCAGGTGATCCTCTCACCTTGGCCTCCCGAGTAGCTGGGATTACAGGTATGAGCCACACATTAAGCTGGGATCGTTTTAAATAGTGTTTATGAAAATTATGTAACAACATGGAACAGGGACATTCTAACAGGATAAAATACAAAACTACATAAAATATATGTGCAGAAGGGAATGAGCAACACTGAAATAATTTTGGTGTAAGTGAGGTGACTAGGATAGTAACTTTCTTTAAAATAAATTGCCTGTTTGAAATATTCCTGCAATTTAAAAAAAAAATTGCAGGCTGGGCACGGTGGCTCTCGCCTGTAATCCCAGCACTTTGGAAGGCTGAGGCGGGCAGATCACATGAGGTCAGGAGTTCGAGACCAGCCTGGCCAACATGGCAAAACCCCGTCTCTACTAAAAATACAAAAATTATCCAGGCGTGGTGGCGGGCGCCTGTAATCCCAGCTACTCGGGAGGCTGAGGCAGGAGAATCGCTTGAACCTGGGAGGTGGAGGTTTCAGTGAGCCAAGATTGCGCCACTGCACTCCAGCCTGGGATACGGAGCAAGACTCTGTCTCAAAAAAAAAAAAAAAGAAAGAAAGAAAGAAAGAAAGAAAGAAAGAAAGAAAGAAAGAAAGAAAGAAAGAAAGAAAGAAAGAAAGAAAGAAAGAAAGAAAGAAAAGAAAAGAAAAAGAAAAAAATGGCAATGGATGGGGCAGGGGTGGGATTAGGAGGAAGCATGAGCTGGGGTGCTGCAGGGTTTGATTTTCTCATCGGCGTGCTGGGTACATAGATATGTTCATTTAATGAAAATTCAGTTAACTGTATGCTTAGGATATGCGAACACTTCTGTATGTATACTGTACTTCAATAAAAAGTTGACAAAAGAAAAAATAAGAAAAAAGTAAGACATGGTGATCACCTTGCGTTCACTAAAACACACTGTGAACTGCAATCTGCACCATCTATGGCTAATAGATTTCCCTTCTAAAATGTTTTCTTGTTAAAAATTAGTAATGACTGTTTTTAAAAGCCCTGTTTTCTGAGATTGTTTGAAGCTGAAGATATGGATAGTAAGAAGACAGACTTAAGAGCTTAAAACATGTAGAATCTGTAAAACTTCTAAATTAGTGGCTCCCATGCTTGAGAATCTTCTCCATGACTTGAGCGCTTGTGAAAACACAGATTGCTGGTCCCCACCCGGCAAGTCTGTGGTGGGACCCGAGAATATGCATTTCTAATACTTTCCCAGGTGATACTGGCGCTGCTGGCTTTGTGGAACCCACATTGAGAACCACTGCCCTGAAATAACCTTCTAGAATACCAAGCATGTTGGTAGGGGAAGACCATTGCTGAGAAACATCGCCACATGTTCTTCCTTCTGCAAAACCGAAGCTGGTGTTAAGTTTCGATAATAATAATTCTAACATCCAGAGGACATCAGTTCCTATGATCATCTGGCACTATGATCTGTGCAGAATGAATTGATTTTAACTGACCCTACTGATGTCTTCCAAAAACTCTAGCTGAAGCTGGTATTGCTGTCGTCAGGTATGAAAGGTACATAGAGAGAAACCCATTCAAGGGTGAGGAAATGCACAAATTAGAACTATTGGCATTATATCTTTAAACACAAGTGACTGCCTTTTATAGGGGTGAAAAAACAATAAATAACATTTATTGAGCAATTACTCTATGCCAGGCACTATGCTGAGAACTTTTATCTGCCTTGTCTCATTTCATTCGCAGAAGCACCCTATTAGGTCAGTCCTATCAGTATCCCCATTGCCCAGAGAGTTGAGTAGAGTAGCTCCCCAGAAGCCCACAGCCGATACATGGGGGAGTCAGGGTTGAAGCCCAGGTCCAGAGCCAGTGCTCTTGCCCAGACAGACCCCGATGGGTACACAGTAACCTCCTCTTGGAACCACCTGAGGAAGTGGCCCACAGGGAGGAGGCAGAATCCCAGGGCTGTTGGAATGGGCAGGCCAGGGAAAGCAGAGGGCTTGTGGGAAGGGTTCGTGCAGGAGGCAGTCTTCTCGGAAGGTAAGCATGAGAAGGGAGGAAGAGGAAACAAAGTGAAGGAAAACACCCAGGAGGCAAGGCGATGTGACTCGTATTTGCTGGGACTCTTGGGAGTGAAAGAAAAGCAACTGACACAGCAGAAGCCCCAAAGGCTCACGTATCTGTTATGTCTGGGCAGATCCTGTCTTCAGGTATGGTTGGATCCAGGATCATCAGGACTCCACCTCTCCTTATTTTCTGACTTCTGTAAAGGGGCATAATAGAAAAAGAAAAGAAATAAGGCTAAAGTCAGGTTGCCAGGGTCTAGTTTTCAATTGCCCAAGTGCTCTGATGCCTCTCAGTGGGATGCCTGTGCCAGGGACTTCTCTTCCTCCCTCTCTGAGTGAGCATGGCAGGTGGAGAGTGCCCTGCTGGCTGACTGTGTCCCCAGTGCACTGTCACATTGCTCTGCTCTGAGTCCAGCGTGTTGTATGGAGGCTGATAATCCCATCCTGTGTGGGCACATCCTGGTACAGCCATGCACCTTTCTAGGGTTCCTAGTGGAACCACTGGATTTCCTCCCTCTCCATGAACTCCAAGATACTTGGGTCTCCGGAGCAGAGCAGGGATCTGGTTAGTTGTAGACAGGTGAACTGGAAGGAGAGGGAGAGGGAGAGAGAGAGACAGAGAGAGACAGAGACAGAGAGACAGCATATGAAGAGGCCAACTTTGCTGTAGCAGGCTAGAACCCATGAAATCAAGTAGGCAAGAGAGAGCACTGGGCAAGTATGCAAACCTTCAACACCTAGTGGCCCTACCGCCAGTAGAACATGACCCTGAGAATACCCTGGACACTGACCAACAGACTTCTCCTCCCTTTCCCATAAGCAGAGGTGGCAATGTAGGAGAGAGGCTCCCTCTCTCTTTAAGCATGTGTTGTTATATTTGTTGGGGCAGATATAACCCCAAGTCCATTGCCTTGCAGACTGCTTTATCAGAGGGCTCCCTCCATTAGCTAGCACTGAATGTAACAAGACTTAACAGTTGATAGATAAAGAGGCCTGTTGCTCTGCCCTACTGCTCCAAGTCTGCACACACCTGTCTACCTTTCTGGGTTGTTCCATCCTTAGCTCCAATGACATAGATTGACCTTACTCATTTCCCCCCGGCCAGACAGAGAGGAGGGATTATTCTGCCTCTGACTGTGAGCTAACAAGATCCATGAGACAATATTCAGGCAGGGCTTTGAAATGGCAAGACATCTTATACCCATGCACCTAACACATGGCTTCCACCCTGGTTGGAGGTACTTCTACCTGGTGCCTCCTGCAGGTGTTGGACAGGGAGCTTTCTCACATTGCTGGTGGTAGAATCATGAAAGAATACATTTGAGAAGCTGCCCCTGTGTTCATTATATTGAGACCATCCTACATTGGAGATGGTCCCAGCACATCGAGATGACTCGGCTGCCCAGTGGCCTGGCAGGTGGGGTCTACGACTCATGTGCTTATCCACCTGGACTGTTGATGCCATTCAAGGTGGCTGCCTTGAGATGTCCCTTATGATGGGAGGCTGGGATGTAAAGGGGACCCCAAGGTAGTCAGCTCCCCTCTGCCACAGCAGTGAGGTGAGGTGAGCTCAATTGTGAGAGATTAAATAGCCATTATCTCTCCATTACCTCCAAAGTTTCCTTTGGAGCAGAAAAAGCTAGTGTTTGGATTGTTACATATTGATGACTCTTCCCCCAAGACTAAGAAATCGAAGTAGTATACATACTTCTGAGAGTTATCTCAGCAACACCTGGTGTTACTGAAAAATGTGTAGGAGAAGGGAAGATTTCCAAGGCTGGAGTAAGTCTCAGAGGCTGAAGGAATGGCTGTTCTTTTTACACCTGTTGAAGGACTCAAGTAACAGTGGGGTGTTCTTTTGAACTGTGAAACTCCATGTCTGAATCACAGTGAAGACTCAAAACCAACCCATGGGCATCTCTCATGGATGGTCCTAACTATGTGGCCTTAGCCCTGACATTGTTGGGGACTCTATGGCTCGCCATGATGGATCAGGCATTGGGTTATGTGGTTGGGGAACTCCAGGGAAGGTGGGCACAGCATGACTGGGCTCTCAGGTGCCGTGCTGCAGTCACATTTGGGAAGATATGTTTGGTCCTCCAGGCTCTGGGGATGAGATGGAGCAGAGAGGGCAGCTTGGGAATAGGAGCCTTATGAGCTGTCACAGTAACAAGGTCAGCCACGGGTTAATGCCTCAGCTGTGCTCTGCCCTGAGTCTGGGGCTGAGTCTTACCAAATCTGAGCACAGTGTGGGTGCTGGATGGTTACAGGGAAGAAGATGACTGAGAGACAGGCTCCCCTTCTCCAGAGTTAAGGTCAGGACTTCCACTTGGGAAAGGAGTGGGTGTAACTAGTGTCTGTTGAATGTCTGCTACGTGCTAGGCACGGTGCAAAGTGCTTTCTTTACACACACTACCCTGCAGCAAGCCATTTTAGAGACTGTGGAAACATGGGCAGCGAGGTCACAGATTGTCTCAGGGTCACATTGCTAATGAAGGGCACAGCAAGGATTCGAGCTTGGGTCTGCCATACTCCAAAGCCAGTGCTCTTATTTACCAACATCAACATCCCTAGCAACCGGCTTCATACCTGATTTGAAATCCATCAGTGTATCATGATGCTGTTTGAGTTCTACCAAGCCACTCTACCCATGAGGATGAGTTTGGTCCTGGCTTGCAAGGTTGCTGCAAGACCTGCCAGCCTCATCCTGGTAGCAAAGGACACCGAACAGGAAACAAGGGTGTTTGGGCAGTTGCTAACTTTTAACTATGGCCTCCTTTGACACAGCACCAGAGCCTCCAGAAGGGTTGTTATTCTAGGCATGGGTCTGATTTGTAGTCGTGATGCTTCTTTATTCATTTGATTCCTTTAGAGAACAACTGATTCTAGAGATGCTGTTTTCATTTCCAACGCATGCTCCGGGGAGACCTAGGAGTGCCACAAAGATGTTTCCTGGGCTTCCTGGGGGTGGGGGTGAAGGACTGAGTGGGAATGGGGTGATCCCTTCTTCCCGCTTGCCTAGGTTTTTTGTTGCTTTCTACAGCAAGTTTCTATGTACAGTTTCAACTGAAGAATGACTACTCAGGGCTCTTTTTTAAAGTTTGAAAGCCATTTCTTTAAGATGATGCTTTTGAGACCCATTAGGCAAAAACATTTCTGTTTGTGGGTGAGTCACTCTCCCACAGAAGCCAAGTGCCTGGTCATTTGCAGAGTTGTTGAGGAACTAAGTCTCCATAAAGACCCATCCTCTACCCTATCCTTTGATGGTGACAGCAAGAAGTGCATCTCCTTGGTTGAATGGCTAGGTTGAGAATCCAAGGAATGAGAGGAATTGTGCATTGGTTGATGTTGGAAGAAACGAAAATAAAACCACATATTTGGTCTCATTATGGCCTTTCAAACTGGAAGAGGAAGGAATATGGTGTAACAAGCCCTCTTTATTTTGCTGAGGAATTTATTTTACCTCCAAAGGGGACCTCCTAATTTCTTGGGTGTGTTTGCAGAAATCCTTCAAGTGCACCTAGCTGGCTTCAGAACTGCTGCCCATTTGGACCTGCTCCAACCAAGCAAATTGGTCCTCATGGGGAAATTTTGCTTGGCAGTGGACGGTCTTCCTTTTCTTCACCTCCTCCTTCTTGTTCCGGCTGCCCTTCATCTTCTCCATGTCATAGAAAGTTAAAATGGACCCTTTGGCATCATTCCATAAAATCAATTGGTTTCTTCCCCAATGTTATATTCCTTTTCTCATTTTCTCCATTCAGCGCTGAGAGCACACCTCATTCCAATTGGAAAGAACTTTTCTACTGGGAATGGACACGTCTTTCTAAATACATGGACAGTGAGGAGAGGGCTGGCCCACACTGGCCTCCCAAAAGGAGTTGTTCCTAAAGTCCTCTTATCCATCAATTGGTTGGACCTACGCACATATTTCCCCAGTTATCTACAGTGCTTAGGTTTCCAGGCCTACTCACAAACGCCCTTTCTTTAGTGACAGCATGCTGCACTGGGATGGACTCTGTTGAAGTAACGTAGTAGAATTGACAGAGAGGACAGGTTTGGGGTGAGCTAGACTTGGGTTCTAATCCCAGACTGTTTTCTGGCCTTGAGAATCTTATCCCCAGAGCTTCAATTTTCTCCTCAGTAAATAAAAGGAGTGATGACACCCAGCTCAGATGAGAGGTGGGCTTGGCTTCCCTGAAATGGGACTAAGTGGCAGAACACAGCCAGGTTCCCAGCACAGAGTAGGTGTGCAGCAACTGCCAGCTTCCTCTCTGCCTCCTGCTGCCCCTGGTCATTGAGTCTGAGATTGATGCTCTAGTTGGCTTACTCCACAGGTACAGTGAAGAAGGGGCCGAAAGTGAAAATGCTATGGTTTTTACAGTGATTGCCCAAAAGAGAGGAACCAACCATATGATTGAATAAGAAATAGAGTTTCTGTCTTTATTGCTGATATTTGATAAAAGGCAGCATGATTTGATTAGAGAAAGGTAGAGTAGATGGGCAAATGATGAGGATGCTGAGGGGGCTTCTGGACACTTTCAGGGGTTTGGTGATGGTTACTACTGATCTGTTTGGGGATGCATTCTCTTAAAAATGTCCTAAGGGGCCAGGCGCAGTGGCTCACGCCTGTAATCCCAGCACTTTGGGAGGCCGAGGTGGGTGGATCACCTGAGATCAGGAGTTCAAGACCAGCTTGGCCAACATGGTGAAAACCCATCTCTACTAAAAGAAATGCAAAAATTAGCGAGGTGTGGTGGTGCATGCCTGTAATCCCAGTTACTTGGGAGGCTGAGATGGGAAAATTGCTTGAACCTGGGAGGCAGAGGGTGCAGTGAGGTGAGATCACACCACTGCACTCCATCCTGGGCAACAGAGCGAGATCCTGTCTCAAAAAAAAAAAAATGCCCTAAGGACATGTGGACAGTTGCCTTTTTCTGTTTCTCAGAATCACCAACCCAACTTGGGGGCAGGAAGAGACAAAGAATAACTGGGGTAAAGGAAGGGTAGCAGGACATGGCTGGGAGGGACCTCAAGCATGTGACACCAGATTGGATCATTTTGAGCAACTGCCCTTCTCTATACAACAAAATTATTCTTGGTAACAATCATGTAGTAATAATAATCGTGAACTTTCCTGATCTGTCGATTAATTTAAAAACAAACGATAAGCTGTTCGGAACGAAGAATACATTTCTATTTTAAAGGTATTATTTAAATTCATTGAAATTTGTTATGTATGAACTAATATGTGATCCTACCAAGAATTACATCTCATAGTTCGGGATTTGTTTCATTGTTCTCAATTTTAAATGCAAATAAAAATGCCAAGTGGTCACAGAATAACCAGAGTGAAGTAACTTGAGTTCTTTGTTTTTAGAATCACTGTGCTAAGGCTGGCATGGTGGCTCACGCCTGTCATCCCAGCACTGTGGGAGGCCTAGGCAGGTGGATTACTTGAGTCCAGGAGTTCAAGGCCAGCCTTGGCAACAAAGTGAGACCCTTGTCTCTACAAAAAAATTTTAAAAAAGTAGTTGGATGTGGTGGTGCACACCTGTGGTCCCAGCTACACGGGAGGCTGAGGTGGGAAGATCACTTGAGCCCAGGAGATTAAGGCTCCAGTGAGATGTGTTCACGCCACTGCACACTAGCCTGGGTGACAGAACAAGATCCTGTCTCCAAAACAAACAAACAAACAAACAAACAAGCCCCCCACTGAATCTATTGTTTGAACGCAGGGGTATGTAGTACTTCAGGGGCTGAGACACAAAGTGTGCCTAAGCGAGCTTGAACCATTCTGAACCATTAGGAATTTACTCTGGAAACATTTGTGTAGTGTGTGTGTGTCTGACTTTTTAACTTCCAGGTGGAATGCAATTTGTATTAAATAATAGGTAACAAAAACTTGCTAATTTGAAGCTTACATATATTATTAAGACTCAACAGCAACTGCAAAAATTGTTTAGAACTTAGACCAACAAAAGATTTTCTTGGAGAGGAGTATTTTATCATTGACATCATTTTGACTAGCTGGAGCAAGATGATAATTAAAAACACTCTGACTTTTAGTCGGTGTAAGTCTTGCTTTTCCATTCTGTACAGAAAATGCCTCTCTTATTGCTCGCTGACATCCGGTCTCCTTCCACCACCCTGCACATGGTACACCTCAAGGTGTAGCAGACTATTGGTTGCCAACTCAAGAGCCATTCCTGCCTCCGCTTACAACAGAAGTGGATTTGCTTGTTATTAAATGCCAGCGTTCTCAGGAAAAGCAAGCCTCTCCCCTACCTTCAGGGAGTGATCGTATTTTAAACCAGTCATGGTGGACTATTTCTCCTTTGACAGTGATTGGTTTGGGGGTGAACACGTGACTGGAGTCTGGCCAATAAGAAGTGAGGATAAGTTGCTGGGGTGGGAAAGAGAAACTCCTGTAAAAGATTTTCTTCACATTAAATTCAAATCAAAACACAGAAATAAACAAAAAAACAAACTAAAGAAATAAGGAGCGACATATCCCTCAACACGAACACACAAATACATTCACCTCTTTCCTGGATTTGGACACAGCTGGGTGAGGAAGTAGGATGCTCAGGCCCACCAAAACCGGCCTTCAACAATGGGAGAACAAGTTGAAGGTGAAAGCCAGTATGTTAAGGACGGCAGAAGAAAAAAATGGAACTACCTGCCTCTGGAAAATTTGCTGTGTGATATAATAGACTCTTACCCTTTAAGCTACCGTCACTTGACCCTCCCATTGCTGGAAGACAAAAGCAACTTAGAGCTATTGTTGGATGTGTGTGCACGTGAAGGGGAGATGGTCGCCCCGGGAAGTAGCAGACTCCTTGTGGAGAAAACCAGGGCAAAGAAAGAGCACAATATGTACTTGGCCTCTCAGGTGTGGTGGGAGGAGAGCAAGCCAGTGGAGAAGGGATACTGGGCCAGATGGTTCTACCGCTTGGCTTTAGATGACACCATTAACCTGAACATCCTGGCAGCTGAACCGGAACTAGAGTGTTGAAGTAGGTGGGTGGGTGGATGGTGCAGGGCAGGACCTGTGTGGGGCTCTGCAAAACAGTGAGTCTGTAACTGGGTGCTGAGTACAGATAGTCATCCATCAATCACTGTACTCACTGTGTGCCCCCTTCCTAACCAAAGAGGGGGTTCGTAAATAATACAATAATTAAATGGAAAGAAAGTCAGTGACCCTAAGCGATTTGCGGACTGGCTGTTTGACTTAGCCCTGGTCGTCTAGAAAACAGAGACCTGGGGCGAGCATTAAGTTACTGGTACTTCATTTGGGAGATGCAAGCCCAGGGAATGGAGGTGGTGGCAAAAGGGAAGTAAGGGGAGGGGAGATGCCAGGCAGTGAGACATGATGATGTGTGCTGTGCTGGCCACCACTGCATCCAGCCTCAGAGGCTTAGCAGGTTGCATGCATTTTCTGGAAAGCTTATAAAGAAAAAAAAAATTGACTGGGCACAGTAGTGGCTCATGCCTGTAATCCCAGTATTTTGGGAGGCCAAGGTGGTAGGATCACTCGAGCACAGGAGTTCAAGACTACCCTGGGCAACATAGTGAGACCCTGTCTCTACAAAAAATTTTAAAAAATTAGCTGGATGTGGTGGCACACACCTGTAGTCCCAGCTCTCCAGGAGGCTGAGGCAGGAGGATTGTTTGAGCCTGGGAAGTCAAGGCTGCAGTGAGCCATGATCGTGCTACTGCACTCCAGCCTGGGTGACAGGGGGCGATCCTGTCTCAAAAAAAAAAAAAAAAATCACGCCACGAAGCAGTACACAGAGTGGGAGAAAGAGGGAGAAATTTGGGGAGCTGCCCTCCTGAACTTCTGGGTGCCATCATCTGGCTTCTCAGCAAGCCAGATCTTAGGCACTGGGAGTAGAGGTGAGATTTCACCTGAGAGGGAAGCTGACTAAGAGAGACAAAATAAGAAGGCAGTCCAGGGAACCCGAGCCAACAGCTTGTGTGTGGTACAGGGTCAGCACCTAAGTGTTTGCCCTTCCATGGGCAGGGACAACCCATCCCTCCTTGTCCCATGTTTCTCCCCCTCCTTGTGGTGCTCAGACACCCTGCAGAAGGCCTTTGTCCCCCTCCACCTTTCTTCAAGTCCTTTCCACAACACCCTTCCAGTTTGCTTTTTTTTTTTTTTTTTTTTTGAGACGGAGTCTCGCTCTGTCACCCAGCCTGGAGTGCAGTGGTGCTATCTCAGCTCACTGAAGTCCCCTCCTCCTGGGTTCAAGTGATTCTCCTGCTTCAGCCTCCTCAGTAGCTGGGACTGCAGGTGCGTGACACCATGCCCGGCTAATTTTTCCTTTTTTTTTTTTTTTTTTTTGTATTTTTAGTAGAGACGGGGTTTCACCGTGTTAACCAGGATCGTCTCAATCTCCTGACCTTGTGATCTGCCCTCCTCAGCCTCCCAAAGTGCTGGGATTACAGGCATGAGCCACTGAGCCCGGCCCCAGTATGCTTTCAAAGCAAGTGCCTCAGAGGTGAGTGTAAAACGCCCTCTGTGGCTTCAGGAAGGGAGAGTAAAGAGGAATTATTACTGCTCCCTGCTCTGCTGGGCTTGGTAGAATTACCCCAAAGCAGTGTTTATCATGCCATGAAGCTGGATGCCCATGTTTAATGTGCTATCGGTTCTGACCCCAGGTGTCTCTCTGCATCACTGCTCTCCAACCAGCGATCCTACAGTCTGTGGCTCAGCTGAGGGTCACTGCTGACAAGTGTATTACTGGTGTTTATCCATATTAAATCTTGTAGTGGTGACTGCCTTTTACCCATTTTTCTAAACTCTCTGATTCCTCTGTAGTTTCCCTTGCTGCTTTGTCTTGTCCTTCTTGGAAAGGCAAACCCTCCCAAGTCAGGAATTCTATTGAAGCTTGGTGTTCCCAGTTGTTTATGAAGAATAAAGATGTTATGGATGGCCATGCTATGAAGCTCGAGCCTTCATGTAGAATTGTACTGACCCATTCATAATTACATCATTCAGAGTGGTGGAGAGTTCACCAATGGGACTGTTTTAATTACAGTATACATCTGTGAAGGTAATGGTCAGCCAGCACTTTTCTCGTGTAAAAACACAGTTAAAAGCTGTCATCTTGGCTGGTCGTGGTGGCTCACGCCTGTAATCCCAGCACTCTGGGAGGCCGAGGTGGGTGGATCACCTGAGGTAAGGAGTTTGAGACCAGCCTGACCAACATGGTGAAGTCCCGTCTCTACTAAAAATACAAAAATTAGCTGGGTGCGGTGGTGCGTCCCTGTAATCCCAGCTACTCAGGAGGCTGAGGCAGGAGAATCGCTTGAACCAGGGAGTCAGAGGTTGCAGTGAGCTGAGATGGTGCCACTGCACTCCAGCCTGGCAACATCTCAAAAAAAAGAAAAAAAAAAAAGCTGTCATCTTAACCATGTTTTCTATAGGTCTACACTTTAGAAAACACTGATCTTTGATTTTTTCTTTTCTTTGAGGTTTTTTTTTTTTGAGACAAGATCTAGCTCTGTCACCTAGGCTGGAGTGCAGTGGCATGATCTTGGCTCACTGCAACCTTTGCCTCCCAGGCTCAAGCAATTCTCCTGCTAAGCCTCCCGAGTAGCTGGGACTACAGGCACACACCACAGTGTGTGGCCAATTTTTGTATTTTCTGTAAAGACAAGGTCTCGCCATGTTGCCCAGGGTGGTCTCAAACTCCTGAGCTCAGGTGATCCACCTGCTTCGGCCTCCCAAAATGCTGGGATTATAGGCACGAGCCACCACGCCCGGCCTCGATGTTTGATTTTTCCTAAAACCTGGAAGCATTTGCTGGTTTTTTTTCTCTCCACAAAACATTTTACTAGAGCAAAAATAAAATGCATTTTATTCCAAAAAATAATTGGGTACAATGAAGTTCTACCTTAATTGAGCCATTAGGAAATAAAAACACCTTTGAATGTCCCCAATGTTGAATTTTCTGTCATTCATACTAGGGAGACAGGCTCTGTCAACATGTTTCTTTGTTTGCACTTAACAACAATACAAGTGTGTGTGCTGCTTTAGAATTAATTTTCCGAAAGTTTCCCATATTTTGTGGTTTCTCTAAAATAGTTATCTTTTAGAATAGACATGAAAATGGAGGCATAATCTGTGAGTTTGCAAAGAAACTGTTTATTCTTTCTGTGGCCATTGCTGACCATGGGATTTTTGCAGTTAAAACTATCATCAGCCAAAGAGAACTTTTTCTTCTACCAGTGATGAGACCCTAGAAACAAATTGCTTGCATTACTATTTGTAATCAACTATGTATGCTCAAATTGTTGCCAAAGCCAGGCATGGTGGCTCACACCTGTAATCCCAGCACTTTGGGAGGCTAAGGATGGATTACCTGAGGTCAGGAGTTCGAGACCAGCCTGGGTAACATGGCAAAACCCCATCCCTGCTAAAAAAAAAAAAAAACACAAAAGTTAGCCAGGTGTGGTGGTGGGCACCTGTAATCCCAGCTACTTGGGAGGCTGAGGCAGGAGAATTACTTGAACTCGGGAGACGGAGGTTGCAGTGAACTGAGATCACGCCATTGTACTCCAGTCTGGGCGACAAGAGTGAAACTCTGTCTCAAAAAAAAAAAATTGTCGCCAAAGTCACAAGAAACTGAACGATAATGTAATATGTGACACGGACAAAAATAAGGTCAAGTTTCTTTGTTATAAGAAAAAACTCCACAATCCACTGTAATGGAAAATATTTAATGAGACAGGTCATTCATTCAGTCAACAGCTAATTGTTCAATGCCTCTTAGCTACCAGGTACTATCGAGGTATGGTATTCTTTCTCTCCCCCTGATCTCCCTTCTCCTCCTTCATTTTCTCTTTGTGCTTCTCCTACTCCTCTTTTTCTCCCTTAGAAATTTGGCAAGGGATAAAGCTATTACAGTCATAATGTGCTCCTATTCTCCTGGTAGTTGGTAGGAAAAAAAAAGATTTTTTGTTTCTATGGAGAGACAAATCTCACTTTCCTCATCCTCCAACCTGCCTGCTCACTGCAGCTACCATCTTGTATAGGGCCTACAGGAAGAAAGAATCTATGGTAAAGAGAGAACTTTAATATATCAATCAGCTGTGGTGGTGAGAATGGATCTTGAGGCTCAGAAAAAAGAAAAACGAATGGAGCTTTGAAATATCTGGAAGTTATTCCAAGACCCCTGGTAGGGATTTCAGATAACGAAATGGATGACGCCAGTGGTGGGAGGGCACCCAAGCATTTATCCACTCAAGATGCCCCCTTCATATTTTATCCTTGGTGTCGTGGCAGCAGTGCTAATAGGACATGAGCCTTCTTGCCCCAGTAATGGCCCATTACGGCTTCAGGAAAAGCCATCATGTTTCCGCAGCATTTATCTGTCAGCAGGAGACTATTATGAGAGCACAAACTCACATTGTATTAGCGTTATCAGTTAATTATGATCCTTGGGACCAGTGCCAGCCAATGGGCTAGCAGTCTGCTGACCATCACTCAGGGATATAACTCCACACCCCCAAATTCAAGCATGTAAGAAGACAGCAGGTCCGCAGAGAGGTGTGGTCAGGGACATTTCCCCTGGCCGGGAGCCCATGGAGCACTGTCCTCAGAGATGCGCAGGTTAGGCTCACTGTCTAGGCCAGGCCCACCTTAGTCACTGTGGACTGGCAATGGAAGCTCTTCCTGGACACACCTGCCCTAGCCCTCACCCTGGGGTGGAAGAGAAATGAGCTTGGCTTGCAACTCAGACCATTCCACGGAGGCATCCTCCCCTTCCTGGGCTGGTGGTAAGAAGTGGCTACATACTGTGGGTGTTTCTGAAGGTATCATTCCCACCTGGAAGCTTGGCTTCAGGAAAATGGGGATGGGTGAGGGACAGGGATGGCATAAACAAACAGTTAGCATTCCTACACTCACTGGATTTAGAGAGCATGTGGCAGATTCTCCAAAAATGCCTGTTGGGTCTTGTCTTTTAGTGAGGAAGCCGTCAAGTCCTCTACTCTCCTGGGGACCAAGCTGGCTCCACCAGCTTCTGCTAAGTTGCCTGGCTTGAAAGGTGGAGGAAGTATCCTCCTATTGTTGGTCCTAGGGGAGCATATGGCAGGGAGGGGATTTGAGGACCTAAGAGACACTGCTTGCTGCTGCCTCATTTGTGCAAAAATGGCTGGTGTCTGGGGAGGCTGCCTCAAGAGAGGGAAGATACTACCAAGACTGGATTCCATTAAGAGTGGAGATTTTCACCCGACCTCTGGCAAGAGTTGCTGTGCTGGGTTAGACTGCATATATCATGACGAGACTGCTCTAGTGACCCTTGAGATCTGGGCCTTGGAGTAGGATGGCATACCCTGAGGACTTAGGCAGGCTGGGGTGGGAAAGGGCGGGTGGTTAGTGGGAACCTGTGTTTGTCTAGATCTCTGACATACTCAGTGCTTTTTGTACCCAGGGAAATAGAGGCATGGGGGACAGAGTGGGCTAGGCTGTGTGTGAAAATTTTTCCTAATTATCTGCCACCTGGAGCATTGCTTACTGTAGGACAGCAGCCTATGACATCGGCATCCACAAACCAGTGCTTCCTTTTTCCCTCCCAGGAAACCCACTGGGGGAAGGGTGAGGACACAGAAGCCTGTGTCCCCTCTGTCCACCAGGTAAAGAGTGTGTGGAGCGTGTTGTATTGGACAGTTCTTGTTTGTCATCATTTTTCTTAGGGAAGAGCTCAAACTCAGGGAGGGAGGGAGTAGGAAAAGCAGAGTGGCGGGTCATGGTGGCTCATGCCTATAATTCCAGCACTTTGGGAGGCCAACTCAGGCAGATCACAAGAGGCAAGGAGTTCTAGACCAGCCTGGGCAACATGGTGAAACTCCATCTCTACTAAAAATACAAAAACTAGCCAGGTGTGCTGGTGGGTGCCTGTAGTCCCACCTACTCGGGAGGCTGAGGTGAGAGGATGGCTTGAGCCCAGGAAACAGAGGTTGCAATGAGCTGAGATCATGCCACTGCACTCTAGCCTGGGCGACAGAGCTGGACCCTGTCTCAAAAAGAAAGAAAAGAAAAGAAAAACTTGTCTTTTAAGATTTAGGAATTGAATAAGTAGAAATTCAGTGACCACAGATGGAATGCTTTGCCAGATATTCTCTGTGTGACCTTGGGTAGGTCACTTCACCACATAGAGAAATTTACAAATTTCCTTTGTCAAATCTGATGATGGTTCTAAATGGTTCTCTGAGTCCCTCCTAGCCATAAGGTGCTGTGAATGTAATGAATATCAATTTAAAGGCATTTGTCACAAAAACAACGTGAGCTGCTGTCATCTTACATCCTCCACATTTACTGCATCTAATAGCTTTTGTCCACTTTCCTTTTGGCTGACTTGCCTACCTGGGGGTACTAGTACTGGGGTGGAGGGTAGTGAAGGGGTGGCTTAGAGCTCTTGCTGAGCATGGATTACAAACAGCCCCTCCTCTAGGTGAGCAGTAAAATAAATCATGATTTGTTGACTGCATTTTAGGACTGAAGAAAGCCAAGAACCCTGCCCACCCCACTCCACCCCTGTACAGCCTCTGTTTTCTGGAGAAGAGATGACTTTGGCAAGGTCACATGGAGGAGTCAGGACCCGATCCCAGAGTCCTTTACTGTCCCATACTGCTGCCTCTCCAGCCAGAGGCATGGAGCCTAACCCTGGCTTTGGGAAGGAATCCATCCTCCGTGAGTTGGCTGAGGGCAGAATGGGAAAAATGTGGGCCCCATGCACAGTGTGGGACCTAGGCAAGTTTGTCTGGAGAATCACAGGAGGAGCCTGGGCCTGCCAAGTTGGATCATGCCACTAGGGTGTCCCGGCGGCTGGCCCTCATCTCTCCTCTTGCAGAGTCAGAAAGGAAATGAGAAAGAACTTGGCCCCAGGGCTGTGTGAGAGGAGGCTCAGGCAGAGGAAGGCTGAGAAGGCCTAGGTCTCTAGGAGTTCATTCCTGCCTGGAGGACAATCAGCTAGTGCCCAGAGATAAGGCTCTGGTTCACCTTCATGCCTGAACCTTAGAGGCAGAGAATAATAGTAGGCAAGCATTAGCCTAGTGTTCTAACCAATGCAGACCCCACTTTCTCCTCATTTGCTCCCAGTGGCTTTGAATCCATTGCTCTGGGCTGTGATGTGGTCTTTCTTTTCAGACCATGAAGAGGACCTTATTTCTACCAAGTGTGTCTTGTTTCCAGTTAAAAACGGTGCACCCACACAGAGTAAGGAGTCAAGGGGCCCCAGACAACCCATCACTGCCTCACCTTCTTCCTGGGCAGCGGCCTGTCACTCAGCAGGCTGTGGCACCCCACTCCAAACTCCTACAGGTTAACCATTCATTCAGCAAAATCTTCATCAAGCAACTGTTATGTATCAGGCAACTTTAGATGCTAGAGATTCTCTGGTGAACAAAAAGAGACATGGTCCCTACTCCCATGGAGCTTACAGTCTAGTGAGGGAAGGGTGGAGGAGGGAATTATCACTCATGCCAGTACACAGACAATTGCAAACTGTGATAAACTACCCAAAGCAAAGGAACCACAGAAGATTCTGGCACTATATGGAAGGTGGGGCCTTCTAGGTGGCAGATGTAAAGACTGGGGCCCAGAGGGAAAGCAGCAGGGGCTGTGGAGAGGAACAGAGGGACCTGCAGGAAGCTGTCATAGGATGCCTTCCTTGGAGGCCAAGGACTGGGGCCTTTTTCCTAATTGCAACAACGGGACATTGGATGTGCATTTTACAAATCGCTCCCTGGCTGCTGTGTGCCTGGAGAATGGATTTCAGCAGGGCAGAAAGGATGCCGAAAAACCAGTCACTGAGGTCCTGGTGAGAGATGATGGTCATATAGAAGCCAGGCTCAAGGGAAGCATCCCTGCACCCCTCTTTCTGTCTCTGATGAAGTACCTATGTGATTTTTAAAAATCGGGGGCTGCTGGGGGGCTACTGACAGAGGAGACATCTTCATCCATCTCTCTGTGAGATGCCTTCCTGAGCCTTGCGCCCAGAGAATCCCACTTGTTCCTCCACTTCAGCACATATGAAAAATCTCAGCTCTGTTTCCCAACCTGCACGAGCACATTTATCCAAGTCAAAAATCATCTGCGATCCTTCTGCCCACTCTCCCAGCCCCTGCCCAGGCGGCTGGCCCCTCCTGGGGTTTCTCACAACCCTCCCTGCCTTTATTCCTGAAGTGCTTGAACATTGCCTGCAGTTACACTCCATTTAGACATTATTTTGATGATAAAATTATGTCTTCCCCCCTACTGCTCATTGTCTTCTGCAGAATATAGGAGAATAAGGTGGTGGTGTCTCCTGAGGGCTTTTCCCCCCTTTTAAATAATTCTATACCTACCCCCCTCCCCACACTCATTTGAATCATCAAATTGATTATTATCCCTGTGGCTGGTGCATCTCAAAAGATGAAAAACCCAGAAGCAGGGCTGGGGCATGACTTACAGCTCATTTTGGTACAGTGGCATCCCATAATATTCGGGTTCACTGAGGGAGCAGCGGACGGGGATGCAGGTGCGTTTGTAGCTGGGGATTCAGGTGTGTATTTCAAAGTGTGTACTTGTGCCTTGGAGTGGATGTGGCGGGTAAGTTGATCATTTTCACCACGATTGTATTTTCCTAAGCAGACAGGAATTTATTTGCTCATGTCTGTGTCCTGGGTACATTTCAGAGAGCTGCCAATGACTAGAGCATCACTTCATACATTGAGAGAACGTTTTATAGATGCGCACCCTGCATCTAGCCATATGAGAGTGGTGCAGAACTGACTGGCCCAGGTGATGAGAACTGGGAAGGGAATCTGTTTCTCTCCTGCCTTCTTGCTGTGCCTCACCTGCTGGCCTGACCCTTTGCACTTTTGCGCACACAGCGCAGGGTTTGAGGCTGCCTCTTCTCTTTGGTGCGTGGGTGGAGAAATGTGACTCATTTTTAATTTGGAAAACAGATCCATTCCAGAAAGGCTGAGAGGTGAGTTTGCTAGACCTGCCAGTTAAAAGATGGGATAGGGGTGGCCCGGGGGGTATGTAAGCAATAAATCTCCCCCCACCCCAGACCCACCTGGCGGTTGGACATTCCCCCCCACCCCCCTTTAACTGCGAGAAGGCAGGCCTTAGGGCTCTAACACCCAGTACTCCTACTGCTCAGGAGGTGGGGACCTCGCGCGCTGAGCGTCTCATTCCATGAAGTCTCTCTGTCTCACCCCCTCCCCCCACCCCAGCTTGATTCTGTCACTTTAAGTCCAGCCCCTGAGAGATAGCCAATAGGAGCCAAACTATACATCAGTCTCCCAGCCTTAAAGCTACAGTAGGGTTAGTGGGCTCCAAGTCTCTTGTGCCCCAGCCTCCTCCACGGCTTCGCATCCCCTCTGCCCGCTCTCTCCGGAGCGTGCGGATGAGTGGAGAGCTGGGCTGTGCGCGCACGGCTCTCTGCCTCCCTCTCCCCCGCCGCGGCCGCCTCCTCCCACTCTGCGTTCTCGCGCTCACTGTGCCCTGCCCGGGCTCGCACCTTGCCCGTGCCCTTCACTCGCTCTTCCGCGTGATTTCCCCGCCGTCTTTCTCTACCAACTGGGAATGCTAAAACGGGACTGATGGACGTGTCCGAACTCTGCATCCCGGACCCCCTCGGCTACCACAACCAGTAGGTGCCCTGCTTCTCGGTCTGTCTGTCCTTCTGCCCGTCTGGCAGTCTCTGTCCTGGGGATCGCAGTTCCTTTTCTGCACATTCTTGTGTAAAAGTGGAAGGGACTTCGGGGGGGCACTTGGGGGACGAAGGAGGGGAAAAGCCGCACACTTCTGGGTTTCTTTCTAGGGCATAAACCCTCCTCTAACTTTTTCCCGCACCCCCTTTTACAAATCCACACTTTCAGGCAAGAGTGGCGCTTTCTCATGCACTTTCTCCCTTTCTCTCTCCTCTCTGATCTTGCTCCGGGGTGAGAAAATATTTGAGTTTTTGTGGAATGGAGCAAGAAGGGAGGCAGAAGCCCAGAACAGGTGCAGGGATGTGGTTGCAAGGATGTCCTGTCCCGTCAGAGAAAGCCTTTCCCGCGGGCGCTTTGTTTTATTATTTCCATCCTGGGGACCAAAAATGATCCCGGCAAGAGAGAGAAAATCGAACGTGCCGCGGCGGTTTGGAAACTGCAGGCGGCCAGTGCCGCTCTCGCCTCGCGGTCTCCGTGGGGCGCCCCGAGGGTGCGCACGTGGCGCGGCGGATCCAGGGCGCCCGGGGGATGCGGGCCCAGCGCTGCGTCGTAGGCAAAGTTCGTTCTCGGCTTTGGGGGAGGCTGTGACCAGCGGAACAGAAGGGCACCATTTCCCTGCTCCGAGGCGGCTTTGCGCTCGCGGTGCCAGAACCTGGGGTTATCCGAGCGGCGTGGGCGCGGGCGGCAGCCGGCGCCGCGAGAAGCGACTCTCAGAAACCGCGGGTCTCCAGCCCCGGGGCAGCGCGCCAAGAGCGCAGAGTGGGAAAGTGAACTGATCGCCTAAGCAGCGGGTGGTCAACCCGCGTGTCATGTCCGGGCTCTCGGGGATCCCACTCTATCCACCTACGGTTTCCCTCCCGACACCCTCCACGGTCGCCGCTCCACCTGCTCGGGTACCTGCCCGGGTCTCCCCTTGGGCGCTGCGCACCCCACGGCGCCCCCGGCGGGTGTCCCGGAGGCAGGTTGTGTGCGCGTGCAAAGTGGTCCCTCGGAAGGCTTAATAATAATAATACATAAAACTCTAGGTTCTTACGGACAGCTTTCCTGCTTAACTTTGTGCTCGTCTTCCTCTTTTTTTTCTGACGCAAACTAAATTCTCCAAGTCAGCGTTTCTCCAGTTCCACCGTGCTTTCATTTGTGTACCACTCGCTCTCCCCCTCCCCCCAAGAACCACGACTACATCTCTAAAATAAATACTCTGGATCATGTGGGGTCCCAGGAAGTACCTAACCCCTCTCCTGGCTGCATGGAGCACCTCCACCACGGTGCACCCCGCTTGAGAGAGAGGGCAGCTGTCCACAGCATGGCTTGTGTTGTTGACCAGACTGTTCCTGCTTCTAGTTTGGGGATTTTCCCCACTCCACCCTGGGGCAGAGGGCCTTTTAGATGCCACCAGAATGTCGGCAGAAGGCGCTGGTCTGGGAGAGGAATCCTTAATAATAATGGATTCCGATTTCCATCAGCTTGAAAAGTGGCTTTCATTCCTTTTAAAGGTTAGATTCTAGCTGGGGTGGGGATGGGGTGGGAGCACCTGAGGTTAGTGAGGCTGTGGACAGTATTTGGTGCTTGTGGAGCATTTCCTTACATAAAATGATCAAGTATGACAAATATTGGATATTTAAATTATTAAGGCTCCCTCTCTCCAGAGGTGACTTCTTTAGTTGAGCACGAAATACTTATGTATTTGTCCCTGGCTCAAGTCATAGTCAATAAATATGAAAATTCGTATGAAGGAAGTACATTCTTTGATTATGCTTACCAGGAAAGCAAGGAGTGAGATGGAGGCTTTAACAGCTGGGTAATTCATCGAGTTGACGGCAGCCCTGACTGGAGTTTGAGGAGAAATATGGGCAAAAAGGCAATGTCAGGGAAGCAGCAGAAGGAAGTCAGGGAGCTGAGGTCCTGGGGGTCTGGGAAAGGTTTGAGATAGAAATCATTTATAAACTAAGCCTGACAGAGGTTTAGATCCCCAACCCTTTCCGGTTTTTTTTTGCAAAGAATTAGCTTGTCCCTCCATGGGGCACAGGAAAAGCCAAAAATATACCTGCTGTCTCCACCGAGGAATTGAGCACCCCTGTCAGATGTCATTTCTCAAAGCCCAGGACCCACTGGGCAGCAGCCCAGGCATTGATGAGCTGGCCTCTTATACATATATGTGCCGCCTAGGGAGGGTCTGCATGTGCTGTGGCGCAGAGGGGCATCATTTCAAGGACGAGCTTGTGGAGGTCTGGGGCTGGTGTCTGGGGAGACATCTTTCTGACCTCTACCCCATGGCTTTGTGACACAGCTTTAGAGCCATGGGTAGTAAAGTAACAGAGCAGGGGACTGGATTCTTTGGTTTGGTAGAAGGATAGTAGGACAAAGCCATTCATTATAGTGCCGGCATTTCCCAGGGAACATACAGTAAGTGGGTTCGTGTATGCTCTGCTCACTGTTTTGACCCCTGTGGATTGGCTGACATTCCCAGACTTGAGAAAACCCAAGGGCACAGGGACTAGAGTTGAGGGAGGAGGAACTCTCTGGTCCTCCCTTTTGCTTCTAACACATAGAGAGCATTTGTTAATGCTGTAGAATCATTCTCACTTTCCCAGGTGAGAAATGAACACACACAGAGAGAAACATACGTACCTTCCTACCTTGCTCTCCTTCATTTTCATTTTCCTGTAGCCAATCCTGTAGGTGACTCCATTACCCATTCTAATCAATATTTTATGTACATATATAATCACCCAGAGTGGGAGGCAGCGTGCTCGCCTGTGTGTGCCTGTGTACAAATGGGTCCATGACTGGACCAGCTGGAGACCCACGGCAAACAGTCCAGAGAGCAAGGGGGGCTATCTTCCCCACCGTCCGATGACCACTTTGCTGTTGTTAAAGAAACAAAGAACAAATTGTCCTGAAGGTAAAATATGTGGGTTCACACGTAGGAAAAATGCCACATGGTAATTCAGAGTCAGTGACCCGGAGAAAAACAAAGGGGGAAATTAATTTTTAATGGTACATTTAAAAATAAATCAGAGTGAGGACATCAGTCTCGGTTTTCCAAGGGAGGGGCTCTAGGAAATAAACCTTTATGTGCCTGTCAGCCTTCTGGAGGTGTGCGCTGCCATGGAAGAGGATGGGTGATAGGAGGTGGGAGGTGTTCAGGCCTGAAGGCGATGAACTGGGAGGAGACATTAGGTCAACGCTGGAGGGCCCCGGTCCCGGGTAAGGCCCTTTCCAGCTCAGTGAGATCCTGACATCACTGGAAATTTCCTCTTGGAGTTTGTTACTTCCCCCAACCCTTTTCATTTTAGAAACAATCCTTTATTTTGCTGATAATGAGGACATATGAAAAAGATCTGTTCCAAAAAAAAAAAAAAAAAGCACAGAGAAACAACCTGGCCACAAAACAGGAATCTTTTTATTCTATTGATTTGGAGTAATCAATAAATATTCCATTTAGTCTGGGAGAGGAGGGGCAGAGGGGACTTTCGGGGAAAGCACTTCAAAGGAGGTGGCGGTGACAGAGATTTCATGTCACACCCTGCCTTCTCAGAGCACCCCTGGCCCTAGCTCGGGGGCCCTTATAACTTTGTCCTGCGTGTGCTCCATTCATATTCCTGATAACTGGACATTTTGCCAAGTGGTTTTTAAAGATAATCTAAACTCATTGAGAAAGTTTGTCCCCTTCCTCAGCCCTCTGCTGAATGCCTTGTTTCTTTTGAGCAAAGATCTGCCTACTTCTGATGGGCCGGAGGAAGGATGCGTGTGACAGAGAGACATTGAGGGAGCATGTACATTGGGGAGGGCGGTGGAGTTGGCCATGAATGCATAGGATTCAGAAGGAGACAGAATTCGAAGACAGTAGACAAGCAAGAAACAGGATGCTTTTGGCCTGACTCTGCAGCGCCCTTCTCTAGAACTTGTCTCCCCAAGTCCTTTAAGCGACTTCTTAAAAATGATTAAAATTCTTTTTGGTTCCAAATTTAAGGGAAGAGATAGCAGATATTTAGACCATAATGTCCTCCTTCAAAGTAAAGCCCACACCACACCTTGACTGCCTCCATTCTGGTGTTCCCCAACACCTACCGGCCATCATCGAGTCTCTGTCCATTTCTTTCTGAAGTGAGACCCTCGTAATGCTCTTCCTGCTGAGCAGGAGCTCTGCCCAGAATTAGCGAGGATGCCGCACAGCTCCCCTGGGAGCTTCTGTCGTAGAGTCTGGTGGCTCTTGACTGAATGTTACTGGGGTGGGGAGCCCCAGCTTGACTTGAATGTTCAACCTCTGGGGTCCTCCAGTGACACTACAGCCCCTAGAGGTGCTGCCAGTGCAGGGTCTAAGGAAGGACCCCAGGAAGCCAGGAGAGTACAAATTAAGAATGGGCTGGAACTAGCCAAATCTGGCCCGGAATCTTCCTGAACATCCTGCCTGTTTGCCCTTGAAGGCTTTCACCGATTTCTAGAGATAAATCAAAGACGTTTTTAGCATGTATGCACTGGTGACCCCTGATTGGTCTCTGTCTCTGGTGAGTTTCCCCTTCCTCAGCCCCAGCAGCCTTAGACCTCTGGGGACAGTCACAGACATGGTCTTCCCTCAGAGGAGAGGCCCATAGGCTTTGGGTGGCCCTGATGTCCCCTGTCCCCTGGCATGGGTGGGGTGGGATTATATCCTTTTAGCCCCGTCAGCTGGTATGGCTTCGTCCCTGCGCGGGGAGGTTGTGGTGTTTATAATTGCAAATGTAATTAGCAGACCAGCTCTGGGGGACTGGGAGGCTCAACTTCTCTGCACTTCACGGTGACCCCTGTAATGGCTGGCCCGGCAGATTAACCCTCACCGGGCCAGCCTGCCTCCTGCCACTGGTGAGGCTGCTGACCTTCTCTAATAATGGCAGGGCTGTCCTGGGACCAGACACCTTCCGTGGAGGGGTTGTCAGGGCAATGACTGGGAGAGATCCGTAGTTGGGAGGATTTTTTCTTCCCCAGGGCACTGGGCTAGTGACCTTTGCCTCTTGAGACACTGTCACCCTGGGCAGCAGGCTGTGCTGGGCCATTTCTTCTCTCGTGTTCCTGGCCATACTGGAAGGATGTGACGGAAGGACTGTGAGTGCATGCTGGTCAGTTCTGTGGCTCTAAAGGGACTCATTGTGACTTCCATCTGGTGCTCCTGGGCTCAGCGGGCAGTAGCTTGTATTCACCCATCTCATCAGCTTCTTCTCAGAGCCAGCTTTGGGGAGGTGACTGTTCGCTGGCTCCTGGACTCTGAGCAGGTGTTCCACAGAGCTGGACTGCTTTGGGTAGGGAGCCTGGTCATAGGAGAGCACAGGCTCAATTTGTTTCTGAGAACAGAGACCTCACCAGTTAACCATCCAACAAAAGGACACAAAAACACCAGACAAGTGGGGAACATGGAGCTGCACGGTCTTTTCCCTCCCTCCTATGAGTGTACTTGTATTTGCCTCTCTAAGGTGCCCTTCTGTACTGATCAGGATTAATATCATCAAGGGTCCTAACAGGACCTTTCTTTATAAGTCATTGCTTAACAGAGTGTCAAGCCCTTCTGTGCTGCCAATAAAGCCCCTGTTGTAGAGGATGTTTCTGAACCTCGAAACATCAAAAGCCGTGTCCACCCCAAGAGAGTTTCCACCGTGGGAAACCTGTGTGTGCACATGTGTGAATGTGTTCCGGTGGGTAGTCCCCTTTAAGATGGGGTGACAGTGGACAGGGGTCTCTGCTATTTAAACATGTTCCTGCTGACTGCTATACCCCTTGGCTGGGCTGAGGTCTGGCTGTGACCACATTCCAGCAGGGGCTGCCGTGCCTTGGGATTGGTTCGTCCATGGTGCAAAGGGGACTGCAGGGGCACCTGCTAGGTGGCTGTCCCTCTGGTTTGCCCAGAGGATTTCAGTCTTAAGAGCCTCTCTGCAATTTTCTGGCCTGGGTAGGGGTGGGGCAGACCCCAGAGAGGGAGAGAAGGAAGTCCTGCCCTTCTCCAGGATAACAGATGGCCACACTCAGAGGAGAATTTGGGCCATTCTGTTCCAGGTTCCCGACTTCCCCTTCTCTCCCTGGAAATAGCCATTGACAGGTTGTGGCTTAAAGAGTCAACTCTTTTCTTAAATCAAGGAAAATCATACTGGTTAATCAGCCCATGGGATGTTCACTATGGAGTTGGACTAGGTGGAAAAAAATTATTGGCCAAATGTTTTAAATTCAGAATTGTCTGAGTTTGAGTTAAAATTGTATAAATCTAAAACAAAAGTTTTCCTGGGGCTCAGAGATAGAATTTTTTCATTTCATTTTGCTGTGCTTTTAAACCTATACACATTTTGGTCTGAAAGTTTCTTTTTTAAAAAAAAAATGTCTTTCCTTTGTTCCTTAGGACTTTAAAATACTCTATTCAATATTGTCATTCAGCATCCCCGGGACTGAACCTTTTCAGGGAATGGTTTTCTGGAAAATTTTATTATATTTCTCAATGTCATTTCATTCAGAGGTCAGAAGGCAGTTAAACAAACTCCAACAAGCCTTTGTTTTTATCTTCTGATTTCAAATGTGATCAATTTTTATTTAAAATCGTATCAGAGACCTCTCCTACCAATTATAGGGGCAGTCAGCCTTGTGCCTGACCATTGGTGTTTACCAAAATCCTGCATTTAAAACTGTACGAATGTGAAGTGTCAAATTGAATTCAATCTTTTCTATCAAGGAAACGATGAGTTTAAAAACCCCAAATACCAAATGTGGTTTTAACTTGGTTCTTTTATTTTTAATGGCTTGAATTGGCTTGAGTTCATAAATTAGTTTTTATGTTTTATTCTTTTTGTTAATTCATTTTGAAATTTTTATTGGTTTTTTTTTTGGCATTTTCATCTGGCTTATGCTTTAAAAATGATGCCTGATAAAGGGTCTTTGAGAATCATTGGCCTTTTGATGTGTTCTTGGTTTCTGAAGGGCAAAGAACAAGGAAATACAGGTGTAAGGAAATGCTATAGGAGAGGATGGAAGGGGTGAAGAAGCGTGATCTTTTAGATGAGATTTCTCTCGTGTTTTACAATTTAGCATTTTCCTTTGTCTTCATTTTTTCCCCTCTATTTTTATTCCAGCTTGCTGTAGTTTGCCCTTGTCCTTTTGTCCCTCCTTGACTGTTTTGGAGGAAGGAGTGTAGGTGTGTGGTCTGCCTGAGTGTGAGTGTGTGTGTGTCTGTATGGCTGGCTGAGCTGTTCAGAGGTGCTGAGCATGATTAGTTGGGTAAAGTCCCAAAGCAGAATGCCTATAATTGGCCCCCCTGTTCTGATTCAGCCATCAATACCTTTATTCATGGCCGCTGGCTGGCTCACGTTTTGGTGAAAAAAACAAGAAGGGTGTAGACCTGCTGTTTACAGACAAATTTCAGGTGGTCTGTTTGTTATCTGAGGCGCGTGGTGATAGGGGCTGCAGGTATGGGTGAGGATATGAAGAAGCACTAAACTTTATGCAAAACCAATTTTTAAATCCCTCCCCTCATCTCACCGCCTATGCTTGGAACCCTAGTTTGGGATCTTGGTGATGCACAGTAAATGAGCTGTTGTATGCTTTTGTTTTTGTCTTCCTAATCGATCAGCAGAAAACATTTCCTTTTGATGGTGAAACAGGACTTCAGCATGCAGAGCGCAGTATTTATCCTCTTACTTTTAGCTTCACTCTTTGTCATTTGTCTCTTGGGTTTGTTGACATTGTCTACCTAAGCAGTCAAGCTAACAAGCTTTGGCAGAAAGAACACTGCTTTTACAGAAATAGTAGCAATTTTAATGTGATGGTTATAATAATTGTGATTACAGTAATCACAGCTTGTACCTTTTTCTTCCCAAAAAGCGCAAAGCAATTCTCGTAACCATTTTTCTCATAGTAGCTGGATGAGGGTGACCGTTTCTTGCTCCCAAACATAAATATCTTCGTGCAAACATAAACATGCAAAGGCTGCAGGTTTGCGTGTCTGAATTCACCCAGGAGCAAAAACTGCCTGGTCTCTGAATACGAACAGGCAGGTAGAGGAGAATACGGTGTTAACCACCTGGCCCCCCTGAGAAAAGCTGGGTGCTTTGCCTTTGAACGAAGATGGGAGAAGTGTTTCTTGTAAGTGATGCTGTGCCAAGTTTGACCCCACTACTGCCGGCTTCTATGCCCCGTGCCATGCTCTGCCTCCCAGTTTCCCCTTGCTCCTTGGTTCCTCTGGCTGCATTCTCATGACAGGTTTGCAGACCAAAGGCACAGAGAGGACAAGGGGGGGTTATGACTTGGCGCATGTGAATATCTGGGAGAAGAACTGTGTGAAGAGAGAGGCAAAGTCATCTCTCCACCCTTGATCGCCTTCTTGGCCATTTGGCTTCTATGAGGCCGTTGTCCCTGCTCCTGAGTACCTCAACCTGCACTATGGAGGTGATTAGAGGGAGGTCATCAGGGAACTGACCTCTCTGAATTTCCATGTCCCTTCTTGTGATGCTTCATGGCGACTCCCAGACCTGAAGCCTGCTCACCTACAGACCATGCTCATCTGTGCGTTACTTTAGAATCCATCAATGCTTCTGTTATTTCCTCTCTCATTTCCTTTTTTGTATATGTATCGTGGAACGAAGAAGCAGCTCTGCTTCACCTAATATTCCAGGGTCCCATAGCTGTCTGTATTTTTTTTCCATCTCAATATTCTTATTCATGTTCTTACTCATAGTTTCTTTTCCTCAGGAAAAAAAAAAAAAAACAACCAAACCTCAAAGCTTTGGATTATTAATTGATTATTAACTGATTTTACAAACAAATCATTCCACCCCCAAGGAATGCAAGCAAGACTCTGGCTGTGCTGCTTAGGTTGAGATCTGCTTTCCCCCTCAATCGGTGAGAAATTTTATATCTTCAATTCCCTTGTTGGACCCTGAGTAAAAAATTAATTCATGAATAATAAAAACCAATCAGTCTTGTTGAGTTTAAGAAGGATTAGGAGAAAGGGTGTTTTTTCTTACAGAGAACATTTGGAATCTGTGTGTCACTGTCACCGAGTGTTTGGGGGTGGCTTGAGCGATGCCTTTATTCATGGCAAATGAGCTGTTGATTATCCTGAGTATAACACATCTTCCTCAGTTGTTAAGGCCAGCTTACTGCTGACTGTTACGGGGTTCCTACCCACTGCTCTCCCACCATCCCGTACTCCAAGCCAGTGATAATTCACTGAAATTAAGACAGTTTCCTGTGTAAGTGGCATATAACCAAATAGCAACTGACCTGGCCTTTGCATTATGAATAAGCCCATTTGTTGATGGGATGGAGTCCTTCTTGGTTTCCCTCCCCTTTCTTTCTCAGGAAGTAATTGACCAGAAATTTACATGCTTTTCCCAGAACTACAGAAATTAGATGTGTAGATTCTCTTTTCAGTTTCCACTAATAGTATCTACCTCCCAGGGTTGTTTTGAAGATTTAGTCAGAGGACAAGCACCAGGCATATAGTAGGTGTGCATTAAATGTCCAGTGTTATTAATTTTTTGATGTTATCTTTGGGGCATTACTTTTTATTCCTTTGACATAATCTCACAATTATAGTCTTCCCTACAGTGAGACTGGGGTGCTTGAACTGACTACTTTGTTTAATGTGATCAATATGGCTCGCGTGTCAATATGTAACACAAGGGGATTAAAGAAGGAATTACAGTTTGGGATGGAGAGGATGAATAGGAAATTTTCCTCTGAACGAATCCCTATATTTTCAGTAGGGCTGTCCAGTAAAATACAGGATACCCAGTTAAATGTGAATTTTACATAAATGTGAGTATCTTTTTTTGTATAAGTAAATCCTATGCAATGCTTGTTAAATCTGGCAACCCTATCTACCCATGACTGTTTTTCTTAAAATAGTCTGATAAGAAACACATTGCTCTTATTTTTTTTCTGCTTTTGACCAAGCCCGAAAGATTAATTCTAGGTTCGGTTTTTTAATTTTTTTTTTTTTTTTTTTTGCGACAGAGTCTCACTCTGTCACCCAGTCTGGAGTGCAGTGACACGATCTCGGCTCACTGTAACCTCTGCCTCCCGGGTTCAAGCGATTCTCCTGCCTCAGCCTCCTGAGTAGCTGGGACTACAGGTGTGTGCCACCACACCTGGGTACTAATTATTTTGTATTTTTAGTAGAGACGGGGTTTCACCATGTTGGCCAGGTTGGTCTCAAACTCCTGACTTCAGGTGATCTGCCTGCCTCTGCCTCCAAATGACCATCTTTAACATTTTACCAATATGAATGTGTTAGGCTGGCCGTGCCCTTAGATATGGCAGTGGGTAAGTTCCCTCGACCAGATATATTGATAGAGTTACAATTAAGTAAATAAATCTGCTGAATGAGGTCTCCTAACAGCACCCAGGGCTACTGAATTTTGCCTTAGGGAGGAACAGGGTAAGTCAAGTCTTTTTGGGAACCTGTCTGTGCCTGATGTTTCCCTGACAAACGGGTTGGGGTGCTGGACTGCCAGAACCTGAGACCCCAGAAACTGGAAGTTACCCTTGCCCCACCCTGGAGGCCAAAGCAGCAGCTCTCCCTACCTCCCCACACAAGGACAGGAGGCTGACCCTTGTGAGGGTCTCCCAGGAGGCTGAGGGGAAGCAGCCCAAATCAGTGTTAGGTGGTGGATCAGGGAGGGTTAGGACTCCAAACCTGAAGCAGAGCTAGTTGAGAGCATGGATGAACCGGGTCTCGCCAACAGGGTACCAGCGGACCCCAGCTTCCCCTCATTCACCTCTCAGAACAGCACAGTCGCACAGCCTTGGTAAACACAACCATTGTTTTAAGCCTGATGCCCTCACAGCCCCGGGTACGGGGAATGGAAGAGCTCTAGAGCCCCCTACAGGCACTCACTGGCACTGCACCCCATGGGTGACAGTTCTGCAACAGAGCCTTCCCTTGGTGGGGTGTATGGAGAATCCCAGGGGGTGAGCCTTCAGAAGCTCAGGGGTGAGCTCAGGACCCTGGCTTTAGAAAGCAGCTCTGGTTTTCACCTTTCCGAGCCCTGCTCCATGCAATTTAGCACTGCAGCTGCCTTGTAGTGTGGTATTCCTCCCAAGCCCCACCATGCATGCATGCACACCTACACACCACACACTCACTGCCTCCGTGGCTTGCCTGACCTCCAGACGGGCTGGAAAGTGCTCAGGTCTGATTCAGTTTGAGGAATGACCTCCAGCTGCTGAATATGCAGAAGCCGTGCAGCCAGCACCATTTTCAGAGCCAGATACTGGTGTTCAGATGCTCTTCTCCAAGCCACCTAATTCTCTGGGGAATCATTTTAGGATTTGATGTAAGAAAAGTGTCTGAGGGGGGATAGGAGAGCTAAATATAAAGTGTAAGGCCAGAGATGGGCGATTGTAATAGTAATAGTTGTAGTAATTGACATTTATTGAGCATTTACTGTGTGTCAGGCTTTGTCCTAAGAATATTTCATGTATGAAATCATCACTTCCTCACAACAATCCTAGGAAGTAGGTATTATTATCATCCCCCATTTCACAGGTAAAGAAACTGAGGTACAGAGACGTTAAGTCATTTGCCCAAGGTCACACAGCTGACAAAGCTGGGATTTGCACAGAGGCTGTCTGGGTGTGTGCCTGCACTCCTCACCCCGATGTTATGTGTCGCTCATTGCATCTAGAATTTCAGCTTTCTTTCATTCTTTTTTTTTTTTTTTTTTTTTGAGATGGAGTCTCACTCTGTGGCCCAGGCTGGAGTGCAGTGGCGCAATCTCGGCTCACTGCGCGCTCTGCCTCCCAGGTTCACGCCGTTCTCCTGCCTCGGCCTCCCAAGTAGCTGGGACTATAGGCGCCTGCCACCATGCCTGGCTAATTTTTTGTATTTTTAGTAGAGAAGGGGCTTCACTGTTCATCCTGTTAGCCAGGATGGTTCTGATCTCCTGACCTCGTGATCCATCTGCCTCAGCCTCCCAAAGTGCTGGGATTACAGGCGTGAGCCACTGCACCCGGCCTAGAATTTCAGCTTTCTAACTCCTGCCTTCAGAACACCTTGTGTAGATCTAACACTTGGGCAAAGTTTAAGGTGGTGGTGGAGGGGGAAAAGACCAAGACCCATGTCTTGGTTCTGAAAAAAATAAGGTGGAAGAATTGCTGCACAGAGTCAGACCTCTCATCCCCCAGGTCAGCTTCCATCCTTGTCCTCGGCACAGGAGAAAGCTGTAGGAAGGAACTTTTGGTCTTCCTGACATCATCGTCCAAGGGCCCATGCCCAGCCTCTGGAGGCCACTCAGTGGTTTGACCCCCTCCATGCCTCTCCTAGAGTCTATCATAAACATATTTTGAAGCCGACTTCCCTCTTCTCAGCTTGCATTTTCTCCTGTTCCTTGCCTTCCCATCATTCTCTTATCGCCCATTCTCCAACAGCTCCCAAGTCTGAGTCTCAGTGCCCTACCTTGGTGCCCGTCTTGGATTCCCGCAGGCACCACACAGCAGCACGTGCAAAATCAAAGACAGCATCACACTCTAAACCTGCTTATCCTCATGTCTCTTTAGGCAGGCACCCCCCACCAAGCCAAGATATGGAGCGTATCTTCAGTTCTTCCCTCCTGCTCTTCATTGTTGAGTCCCCTCCTACATCTGGAAAACTTTTACCTATGTATACACCTCAGATCTAGTCATTCTTGTATTGCTTCCCCCAACCCTGGTCTGCTTAGCAAACTTCTATTTATCCTTTAAAACCCTGCTCAGGTATCCCCCTCTGTGTGGAGGCATCCCTGACTTCTCCCTGGGGGAATTAGTCTTTCTCCTTGCAGCTGTTCTCTGTCTCATGCCCCTGACTGGTTTACAATCTGTTGGATTTGAATATTTGCTTATTTTTTCTCCTAGATCATGAGGTCCTAGAGTCCAAGGTCATCTCTGTGTCCCCAGTGACACAGAGTGGGTGTTTAATAAATGTTGGTTGAGCTAACCTGAGGGGATTGGAAGTAGTTAAAGGGGAGCCCTTGGGGGAAAAGAGGCAGAAAGAAGGGCCTGGGAAGAGGTAACCAGGAGAGCACTGGTTCTGCCACATTTTTGCCCTGGTTGAGCCATGGAGGCAGCTCTGGCTTGGGGAGCATTATATCCTTCTGGGAGGCAATGCAGTGTTGGGGTTAAGAGGGAAAACCCTAGCTCCAGACTAACTGAATTGAAATCCTGGTCCCAATGGTGTGCTGGAACCAGCTCAAACCAGCTCAGGAGAGCTCACTGTTAAATATTCAGCAGTTTTGTGGGCTGATGGTCAAACACAATCATTATTAAAAATTAAATGGTATAAACTTATAATTAAATACATTGTATTAAAAACAAAGGTAATAGATACCACTCCTCACTTCCTCATATCTTAGTACATTTCACTTTACGTTCTTGCCATCAATTTACACCTAATGTATGGTGGAAAAACCATGCGATGCTGAGCTGCTGCCTGTCTCTTCCCAAGCCTGCATTCCATGATGACACACTGGTAGTTTGAGAACAGCCATGATGGGAGTATTTACACCACGGAAATTGGCAAATGCTACAGATCCGCCGTCCCCCAGCTGGCCATTAAACATTTATTACCACACCACTGCACTGGCTCCGTCACATCCCAGCTCTGTGACCCCAGATAAATGACTCAATCTCTCTGTATCTCAGATTCCTCTTCTGCTGTGATCTTCCACGTTAGATTGCTGTAAAGATTAAAAGTTGATAAACATGGCTGAGTGCGGTGGCTCACGCCTGTAATCCCAGCACTTTGGGAGGCTGAGGTGGGCAGATCATTTGAGGTCAGCAGTTTGAGACCAGCCTGGCCAACATGGTGAAACCCCATCTCTATTAAAAATACAAAAATCAGCCAGGCGTGGTGGTGGGCACCTGTAATCCCACCTCCTTGGGAGGCTGAGGCAGGAGGATCACTTGAACCCAGGAGGTGGAGATTGCAATGAGCCAAGATTGCGCCACTGCACTCCAGCCTGGAAAATAAAGCAAGACTCAGTCTCAAAAAAACAAAAACAAACAAACAAAAAAAGATAAATATAAGGTACTTATAGCAGAAACTAGTACACAGTAGGTGCTCAATAAATATTAGTTCTTTTTAGTATTTCTTCTCATTGCTCCAGTGATGCCCCTATCCAAATTCTACGGAAACAGATGACGTGCCAGGTAGAGGAATGTAAGTTTTATTTCTAGAGCATAAGGTTCATGTCCTTTCCCTACAGGACCCCTGTGCGTAGGGTTTAACTTGAGGAGCTAAGTGCGGGAAGTAAAAACCATGAATTTTCCAAGGGGAAAGGCGCTGATGGAGAGGTATGCTGAAGCCTCCAGGCCATGAGAGGATTGTGCCCCAGGCCCTTTGAGGAAATGAGGCCACAGCAGCACATGGTTGAACAGGTGAGGCAGGCACAGGTGAGGTCAGGAGAGGAATGAAGCAGATGCCAAGAACAGCCAAGCTGCAGCATGAAGGGAGGCTCTGTGTGTGGCTGCAGCGGGGCCCCAGGACCTTGCGAGGAGGCAGCTGCCCTCTCTGGAAATGCTGGGCTGTGCGGTCATGCCCATGAAAGCAAGGGCTCCTCTGGCTTTGGAAGTGGAGAAAATATTCCTGGCCAATCCCGAGTTGGATCACACAGTTGAGGTTACATTGGCTGCATTGTGGTTTCTTGGGATGCTACAGGAAAGCGGGAAGGTAAGATTTGGTCTGCAGCCTCCAGGACAGCAGAGGCCAGGAAAGAGCAAGAGTGCGTTTGGGCTTTTCTAGACTCCTCCGTGGCAGGTTTCCTGGGTCCCAGCCAACCCAGGCCCCTGGAATGAGGATTCACACTTAATCTCTCTGTTACCTGGAAATTGCTTCAGGTTCAGACCTTTGCCATCAGGAGGGGCAGTTCAGTGACTCAGATACACACAGTTCCCAGCCCAGCCCTTTTCCGATGGCAAGTGCACTACAAGCCCACAGACCGCTGGCAATGCGTACATCTGCATGCTGTACAGGCCAGAAGCTGCAGCTCATTGCTGGGGTCTGCTTCTGTTCTTTGAATCCCTGGTCTGTAGACAAATGCCCTTTGGAGCGGCCTTGCCGAGGAGAAGGCAGCGTTGAGAGTGAAGCCCTTCCTTCCCACCTCACTATGGGAGTCTTTCACTTTACCCTGAGCTCCTCAAGGGCCCATCTGGTTCTGATTCGTCTGCAGCACAGAGTCAGTCATGGAGGAGCCTTCAGTAAATGTGAGGTAGAAGTTTAGATACATTTTGAGAAAATTTGTGCTTTGGGGTGCACCACTAGTGGGTTACCTGTTCAGTTGTACAGGTTGTTCACTGTCCAAGAGTGCCTGGTTGAGGAGGTGGGTGGGGTCTGAACTTAGTTTTTCTAATTCACAACAAGCCACACATAGCTGGGGCATGGGGGTGAGTATCCAAGGGGTTGAGGGCCTAGAGGGGCCTGAGGAACCACCTTGCCAGGCTCCAACTCATTCATTGGGAGCAACTTCCTGTCTAACCTGTGTCTGGATTCTCTGAAGAACTCTGTGTTTCTTTCTGCTGGCAACATCCCTGCAGCCTGCATTTAGAGCCGGATAGCTCTTCGAAGGCTTTCTGTTCTGTGTAACTGCAGTACTTAGCGGGTCCCCCATGGCTCTCAGCAGGCCCCGGGGCAGGGAGGGGCCTCCAGGCGCTGCCCTGGCTGCTGATATTTCAAGATGCCAGTGGAAGCAGAGACACTGCGGCCCTGTGTTCCCAGAGTCAAGGTGCAGGGTGGCGTGTGGGTATGAGTAAGCCAGCAGCCCTGGCAGGCAGGGGCATATCCGAGAAACAGTGTCACAGGGTTCCTGGGCTCTAAGGGCCTCTGTGAGTAGATTTTTGGGAGTGCTAGAATTTATCAACTTGGAGGGGAAGGAAGCTGCTGTTTTAGCATTTGATGCCTTTAATCTTTACAGTAATACCTACGTAGGGAGTCCTGTCCCCCGTTTACAGAGGTCCAGAGGAGCTGAGTGACTGCCCAAGGTGGCGCAGTGGATCCACTTGAAGAGCCAGGATGCATGTCCAAGTCTGTCTGCCTGAAACAGCTCAGAATTCCAGGGGCCCAGAAAACCCACTGTTTCTATCACAGATCTCTGTCTTGCCAGGCCCACCCTCCTGATGTTTTCCCCAACACATTAATGTGGTCTCAGGCAGAACTACTCAGCTGACCCTGGGCTCAGGAAAGGGGAGCGCAGACCCTGAGACAGGCATGTGGCTCGGGGGCTGCCACCAGGGCCTCATCCCAGTATGGCTGTGGAGAGGGTCAGGACATCTGGAAGAGCCAGTGTTGGGATCTGTTCATGCTGTGCCAAGAGAAGTGCTTCCATTTGCCAAGAAAGAATGAGGAAGAGGGAAGGGCAGGCCCACCTCCTTGCTGCTCCCTGGGTCAGTAGCCCTGGGTGGCCACTGGCCTTCACAGAGAAGAGCCACTTGGGGGTGGTCCACATGTGTGAGCTGGAACCCAGGGCCTGTGGCCAGCCCTGGGAGGGCCTCTGTGCGGGCATGTGGGGCAGGGAGGCACTGGAGGCCAGTTTCCTGTGCAAAGCCTTTGGGGCATAGCGGATCTGGGGCATAGCAGAGAAGGAGGCCTGCTTTGGTCTGTAAGGTGCTGTAGCCAGGATCTAACACACCTGGACTTGGGTTTGTGGGTTTATCTCCCTTGTGTATTCTTTGACCACCCAGCTCCATGCCTGGCCAGCAGAGTTCTCGCAGGAGACCCTGTAGGCTTGTTGTGAGGCCATAGTTGGAAACCTGATGGGCCCTCCCTAGAGACCTATTGCCTGGAGAAGTGCTCCCTCCGTAGCTCCAGTAGACGCCCCTACTTGCAGTCTTGCCCACCACCTTGCTCTCAACACTCCTCTCCATGCCCTGCAGCCTCCTAAGACTTTCCTCTGTGCCAGCTACTTTTGCATGGCAACAATAGTAATAAAAATAGTTACATATGGTCAGGCAATGGATCTGTTTTTTGGTCTATAAGTGTATTTTATGTTAAAAATTTTACATTTTATGACTTCAAGACTTTGCATGAAATACCTTTACTGCAAAGAAGAAAACATTACCTGGGATCAGAGCAGTCACAGAACACAGAGGCCCCTGGCAGTCAGGAGAGAGGTCCCCTGGTCGGTGCCCAGGTGGAGAGTGTGGCCAGGTGCCGGCAACTGCAAGTGTTTCCAAGCAGGTGCCCATGTCCAGCAGATGCCTGCAAGACTTGAATCAGAGGCACTGTTCTGAGGGCGGAAGGACCTGGGGTCCCCAGGCTGGCCGAGGCAAGGGACTCCACGGCTGCTGTCTTCTCAGTAAGAACACCTTGGATTCTTTTTTTTGAGACAGAGTCTCGTTCTGTCACCCAGGCTGGAGTGCAGTGGCACGAGCTCAGCACACTGCAAACTTCACCTCCCAGGTTCAAGCGAATCTCCTGCCTCAGCCTCCCAAGTAGCTGGGATTACAGGCATGCACCAACATGCCTGGCTAATTTTTTTTTTTTTTTTTTTTGTATTTTTAGTAGAGTTTCACCACACTGGCCAGGCTGGTCTGACCTCAGGTGATCTACCCTCCTCAGCCTCCCAAAATGCTGGTATTACAGGCGTGAGCCACCGTGCCCAGCCTAGAACACTTTGGATTCTAATTTTAGTACTTCCAGCTCCTGGCCATGTGGATGAGATCAGAGATTGTGCCTGTGTCAGGTAGACTTGGCCACTCCAGGCAAAACCAGCTTCTCTTTGATGCTGGGCTCTTTTCTTTTCCCCCATCCTTCTTTCTTTCTAGCCCTGTTTCCCTGCCTCTGTCGTTCTAGGCCAGTTTCCCTCTATTTTTCTCTTTGCTGATGCTCACGACAATAGTAATATTTGCTAACATCTTCTGACTGCCCACTATGAGCCAGGCGCTGTGCAAAGTGCATCTTGTGGCTACTCATATGTTTTGCCTCCTTCCCTCTTTCTGGGCCTTTTGTACTGAAGATTCACCTGGTATCCCTTGAGCACCTCATGTGGCTGGTACTCTCCTCCCCAAAGAGGATGCAGCCTTGTGGGGGCTGGGAGGGAGCCTCATTTGCTCCAGCGCCCTCATTTTACAGAAGAGAAAACTGAGGGCTTGAGCTGATGAGGGCCTTGGCTACAGTTCTGCAGCTTGGGTGCAGAAGGAAAGCCAGGGCTTGGCCTCTTGACCTTTACCCAGAGCTGTCTTGCATCTTGTGGATGCAAATTGTTTGCTGTCAGCTGCGTTGAGGGCCTCTTTGACCTTGGGGTTCTGAGTACCTAAATGGTGAGCCTCGGGCCAGGCAGTGCAGATCAGTGATGTCACTGTGCCAGTGTCACTGCATACCCACCTCAGGCTGGGCAGGGCGAGGAGACTGCAGGAGCCACGCAGAGCCAGAGGATGGCTGGACGGACTGACATGAACCATTCCCATGTAAGAAAATTAAAAGATAAAAATAATTTTGATAGAGGGAAAACTGGTAGGAGGGAAGATGAGCTGGCCGTCTGGGCGAGGTGGCCTCCTTCACAGGTTTTGCTGCCATCATCTCCCTATGTGGGCCCACTTCTCTCCCCGGGCCATCCCTGTAGGCTCTTCTTTGCCCTTGGTGACCTCAGTAGGAGCTCTCCGTTTCCGACAGTCAGCCCCTCGCCCAGTGGGAGGAGGAGATAGAGAGGTAAGAGCTACCTGAGAATTAAGCCATGTGCACTATCTGGCTCATGCTGGTCTTCCCGGGGCCTCATTCCATGGCTGGCATAGAAATATGAATGCATCGTCCTGCTGTCAGGCAGCATCCCAGCTACTCCAGCCTGTGTCCAAGGTCAGTACCTAACTGGCCATCCCTGCTCCGAGGTCACTTGAGGGTCTGGCAATATTACCATGGATCTGAACACCACTGGCTCCCCGGGGGCTGCAGCGGGGCGTGTGGAGGAAGGAGTCCCTCCGGACTCACGGCCCACACTAGAAGAACATAAAGGAATAGACAGCCCCTGTGTGGTGCAGCAGAGCAAGCAGGACCTTTGATGTCAGACAGGTATGAATTCAGCTGACAACTCAACTCTCCCTTGGTGTGTACCCTGGGGCAAGTCACCTAACCTCCCTGTGCACGCTGGCCTCATCTGAAAAGTGGGAATAAGAATCCTTCTCTTATAGGGTTGCAGAAGAATTTAATAAAATAATGCTTGCAAAATGCTTTTATGCAGGGTACTGTCAGCCTCACAAACCAGAGATGCCCCAAGCATTCTCTGTAAACACGGCTATGACCATTCAAAAGAAAATTATAAATTCATTTTAAAGTATTATTTAATTAGGAGTTATTATATATTTTTCCACCTAATAAAGACTAAAAGTACCAAGATTATGATACTTGGTACTTGGGGTGGGGGGCGGGGTTGAGAAATGCTTTGGCATTAAAAAGAGGCCTTCAGCCGGGCATGGTGGCTGACGCCTGTAATCTCAGCACTTTGGGAAGCTGAGGCAAGTGGACCACAAGGCCAAGAGTTCGATACAATTCTGGCCAACATGGTGAAAGCCCGTCTTTACTAAAAATACAAAAACTAGCTGGGCATGGTGGTGCGTGCCTGTAGTCCCAGCTACTCGGGAGGCTGAGGCAGGAGAATCGCTTGATCCCAGGAGGCAGAGGTTGCAGTGAACCGAGATCACGCCACTGCACTCCAACCTGGTGACAGAGTGAGACTCCGTATCAAACAAAAACAAAAACAAAAACAAAAACAAAAAACAAAAAAACAGCCTTCACAGGTTCATGTGGACTGAGATAAAAATACAGGCAACATAGAGTTGAGTAAAAATAAAAATCAAGTAGCTGGACAGTGGATAGAGTAAAATCACATGTATGGCTTTTTAAGCTCTAAATGCTGGGTATATGCTTTTGAAACTTGGGGAAAGAGATATTAAAAAAAACTGTCCTTTGAGTTAGCTGTAGGGAATGGGCTTAAGAATCCTGGTATTGGGAGAGATTTTTACCTTTAACTTTGACTCTTTTGATTGTATGTACATATTCTATAATGAAAACAATTTTAATGTGTAAGTTAAGGGAACCAAGTGTGAGCAAACAAGCCAGCAAACTAATAAACCTTTCTAAGAAAAACATTGAAATACAAAGGATCCTTATGAAAACTTGGAAGTCAGCTCTCTGGACACACAGTCCTCTAGAAACCAGGTTCTGTCCCTGCTCCAGGTCCCTGCCCACCTGCTCCCCTGGTCCCCTGCAGTGCACATGCTACCAAGCCTGTGCCTCTGCCTGCAGCAGGACAAACCCAGACAGAGGCTTAGCCCGGAGGCTCAACTTCCGGAGGCTCAACTCCCGGAGCCAGCGCTGGCGGTAGATGCAGCAGCCAGGCTCGGCCTGGGTTGGCAAGGGTTGGCCTCACCACTAGATTCTCTCTCCACTTCACGCCTCATGGAGCCAGGCCGAGGGAGTCGCTGGAGGATCGTGACTACCCGAGTGGGTGGTTGCTCACCTGCCCAGGAAGCCATTAATCTTGTGTCTCTGCGGCCTCTCCTCCCACGCCAGCCGCCCGGGCACGGACTGACTCGGGAAAGGACATGAAAGGGGCCCTGGGCTTCATTCCATGGTGGACCATGACCCTGGAAAATACCATCTGGCTTTTCTGTGTGTCTTCTGACACCAATTCCCCTAGTCGGGACACATCAAAGAGAGTGCGCCTGGTGACATTTCTCATTGTTATTCCTTTGGCAGGGCCTTCGGATTCAGGTCACAGATAGACTTGCACCTCCAGAGGCTGCCTGTGGGGCCTGAGCCCCCCATCTTACAGATGCCTCAGGAGGGGGCTTGTAGAGGTGACCCAGGACCCCCTAGCGGCCAAGACCCCAGTCAACGGCACCCAGCAGGCCAGTCCCCCAGGGCCAGTCTGGGCAGCAGAACCTCCTGGAGTGACCGCTCTGACTTTCCTTCTCTGCCCTCTGATGCTACCCACGCAAAACAGCCAAAGCGCCAGGTACCCCATCCAGGGTGTCAGTAATGTGTGGAGTTTGACCTTACCCTGGGAATCCCAGCTTCAGTCACAGAGTCATATTTTCTTTACGGAGGCTGGGCTTGCTGGCTTTAAAGTAATTCCAAAATAGATTTATTGGACAAAATTTGGGCAAAAATTGAGACAAAATAATTTGGGGCAGGCCAGGCATGGTGGCTCGTGCTTCTAATCCCAGCACTTTGAGAGGCCAAGGCAGGAGGATTGTTTGAGACCAGGAGTTCGAGACCAGCCTGGGCAATGTAGCGAGACCTTGTCTCTATTTTTCAAAAAGAATAAAACATTTAAAAGAATAATAATTTGGGGCAAAAAGGGGGCTTCTGAATAACCTCGAGGTTTGATACTCAGAAATGCACTACCTCCTGAGCAGAAAGTCGCCTGTGGCAGGAGGTATGTGCATGCAAAGTTGACCTGTTTGGAAGGTTATAGAAGATACAACAGCAGCCAGGGGCTTGCACTATCTGTTGCACACTTTCCCCTTTTGAATAAACCCCTTTGTTTCATATCAGTGGGGAACAGAGGATGGGCACATGCAGGGCCTCATTGGATATTCTCTCACTTTTTTATGTCTAGCCTTTTAAACATGGGGCAGTGCCTCCTACGCCAGCTTGTGCTTTGTTGGAAAATTGGTTCAATAGCCCTGCTAGCTGGCATGCATTGAAGTATTTCCTATATGCCAGGCACAGTGTATCGTGCATTACCCAGTTAGTACTTTTGAATTTCACAACTGTCCTGCAAAGTAGGCACTTGCATTTTCCTCATATTCCAGATGAGGAAATAGGAGCTCAGAGAGGTTGAGTAGCACCCCCAAAGTCACAGATCTAACACAAGGCAAAGCTGGCATTTAAACATAGACCCACCTCCAAAGTCCAGTGTGCTGGACACACCTGCAGAAGACAAATAGTTCCCCCATATTTCAATCTCTCTCTCTGTTGGAAACTGAGTCCGCTTTTTGTTATTGCTTCCCCCATCAGAGTTCAAAGGCAGCTAGGAAATGGGGTGGTCTCTGCTTTGCTGCTTACCACCTTGTCACCTTTCATTTGTATTTCCCTAGAGTAGGGAGGCAGTGCCCTTTCTTGGCAGGGTGCAGTGGGTGGAAGGAGGGTAGGGCTGTGGGGGAAGGGGTCAGAGGAGAGGATTGCCTCTCTCTAGGTAGTCAAGGGGGCATACGTATGGGGTAAGAGGCTGGTTGGCATTGGGCATTGCATTCGGGGTCAACCATTCCAGTTCCCAGATACACATGCTGATAGAATCCTTGTGACAACCCTGTGAGGTAGAAGCTCTTCTGCTCCTCCTTTTACAAGTGTTGAAACTGAGGCTGTGTGCCTTGCTCAGGTTGCTGAGCTAGCACACAGTGGAGTCTGACTCCAGCCTAGGTCTGCCTGCCTCCTAAGTCCCAACTCACCACCACCATCCTGCATTTGATTCGGTTCAGCCTCTCTGTCTGCTGAGGGGACTGTAGGAAGTGACAGAAAGGATGCAGTTGCATAGGTGGGTTAGGGGTTTTTTAAATCCTCATTTTCCTGATGGAGACCCTGAGACCCAAGTGTCTTGCTGAACTCAGTACACTGGGGACTGAAATTACCACCTGTCCCCTGGCTGCAGCCTGCCTTTTTTGCAGATGGGTCCAAACAGCAGATGTGGATGGTCTGGGAGGGAAGGTTCCTGTGGCTGTGTGATGAGGGAGACGGGGGTGGCTTGCTGGCCAGCCGTGTGTTTTAACCAGCGCGTATATATCTTTATTTAAAGGAGTCCTATGCTTTTGACAATCCATCAGGAAGCTCCCTGTGACGGAGTCCAAGGGGTTCCCTGGTATTGCTCTGTGATCTTTAGACAAGCCACTTAGCCTCTGAACCTCTATGTTCTCATCTGCCTGATGAGGATAAGAGAATCCCAACTCCCTGAATCAATGCTAGGCTAGGTGAAATCAAACAGCCAACACAGGTTGGATGTGCACTCCAGGAGGCTTCCTAGCAATGTCCCCGCCGCTCATTCCTCCTCGTTATGCCCTCAGAGCCCACATCATCCCCTTTGAATATGCTCGCTGATGGCAAGTCTCCTTCCATTCCGGGTGGATTTAATGTTTAATGCAGCCAAGGTCATTTGGAGGCAAGTCTAGGGAATTAGCTGGGTGACAGAGCTGAGCAAAGAGATTTTTGATTACAAAGAAAGTGAGGATGTGACTCTATTTCTCAGATAATCTGGGCTGAAAGGCAGCTCCCAAGAGGAACTCCAAAAATGCTTTGACGAAAGCCAGCATCACTGGGAATTGGGAAGAGATGCCCAGGGTGACCATGAGGAAGGGGACAGCGCTCACTAGGGTGTATAAATACCGGTTGGTCACAATTGGTCTCCTGACTTCACAGTCACACCCTGCTGCTCCTGACCAGATGCTGCCGTTTCAAGGAGCAAACTCGGTGGGAGGTCATATAGGTGTCCAGTGGAACTGGGGTAATTGTGGCCGTCTCAGGTCAGGCTCAGTCCCTGATCCATGCGGAATAAATAATGGCCCAGCAAGATGCCTATACCTTTCTCATCTTACCAGCCAAACCTGCAAATTACCCAACAGAACCCATGCTGCTTTGGCTGGGAGGGCCGAATGAGCCAGAGCTTGCAAGAGTCTAGCTGGGGGCAGAAGGGAGGAAGGATACACACCCCCTCCTGCTCCTGGTACCTCATCTGCTCTTGAGAATTAGCCTGGCAGTGGGAGCCCTTCAACTGGGTACTTCGTGTACTGCCGTCCTTTGACATTTTCCTTCTGGGAAAACTTCTAGAGAAGCCATTCTGGGAAAGGTAGAGATTTAGAAGTTTTGAATAAGAAAATAGCAAGCTGAGAACATAATCTGGGGAGAAAGAGCACAGGGCAGAGAACTCTGAATAGTGGCAGATGGACTTCCATCTGAAGACCGTTGCAGATTTGAACAAAATGAGGGAAATGACAAGAGCCGGAAGCCTTCCAAAAGGAACCGCTTCCATTGAAGTCTGTCCCTGATTCTCAGGTTAGAGTCTTCCTCATTTGGGATGTGAAAATGGTTTTTCTTTTATAATGTGATGCTTGTACTAGGTTGCCTTTTCCCACGTTTTATGTTCTCACTTGACAAATAGCGTCAACTTTGTATTGGTCCCAGTTTGGGTGGTGGTGAACGGGAGTGGGAATTATCTTGTGTGGTTGGAAGATGGGAACCACTGGCCTAGAACCCAGAAACTGGAAACTAGCTGTCCTCAAGCTGGGCCTTAAGTCTCTGTAGGGAACCTGGGGACAGAAAGTGAAGACACACGAACAACTGTTTATATCCGCCATCCTCCAACGGGCAGGCTCCTATGGGTGGGGCTCCATTTAGCCCAGGAATTCTCCTCTTCCCATTGGTGCTCTGCTCTTCTGCTCTGTGCAGAGGGCAGCTGGTTCTAAGGTCCAGAGATATAAGATTTCTTCGCTGGTTTAAGCAGCACCGAGAGTGTGGTCCTCTCGCTCTCCCTGATTGTGCTCTGAGCTCTGGCCTCTTGCAGGGAGTTGCCAGACACATGTGTGAGAAGAAGGGCTCCTTTTGCCGTTTTACCCCGGGTGTGATCACAGCTCCGGCCCAGGCCACTACTGAGCCCTACACTGTCCAATATTCATATGGGAGGGTTGAGACGAGAAAAGGCACTAAACATCCTGTGTCATAGGAAAAGGGAACAAAAGAGGAAGCCTCGAAACAGACTGGGAGTTGTCATTCATGAAAGAGTGAGCCTTCCAAATCCCCCACGCTGGCTGGTCTTTACAGCCTGGAAGACTTCAGATTAAAGAGACCATGATGAATGGGGACCGTGAGGATAGATTACTTCAGGGAACACCTCAGTGTCACCCAGCTGATGGTGGCCCCAATTTCTGGGCAGTGGGTGGGGAGTGGAGGCCTCCAGCCCTCTTCGATTCTGACCTTCAGCTGCAGCATTCCTTGAGCATTCGTGGAACTTTAGTACTGCAAGATACTCTCAGGGGAAACAGCTTCCTGGGGAGTTCGCCAAAGAAACAGAACCAATACGATGTATAGTCATGTGCCACATAATGACATTTCAGTTAATGATGGGCTGCATATATGATGGGGTCTCATAAGATTATAACACTGCATTTTTTACACCTTTTCTTTGTATAGATATACACATACCATTGTATTACAATTACCTACAGTATTTAGTACAGTAACATGCTGTACAGGTTTATAGCCTAGGAGCAATAGGCTTTACCATACAGCCTAGGGGTGTAGTAGGCTATGCCATCTAGGCTTGTGCAAGTACACTCTATGATGTTCACACAATGATGACATCTCCTAACAATGCATTTCATTATTAAGCAATGGATGACTGTGTGTGTATATATCCTTTATTTATGTATATAAAGAGATTTATTATAAGGAATTAGCTTACATGATTATGGAAGCCGACAAGTCCCAAAATCTGCAGGGTAAGTCAGCAAGCTGGAGACCCAGGAGAGCTGACAGTGTAATTCTAGTCCAAAGGCAGGCAGACTTGGGACCCAGGAAGAGCCAATATTTCAGTCTGAGTCCAAAGGCGGGAGAAGGCTGATGTCCCAATTTGAAGGCCATTGGGCAGGAAGGATTTTATTTCTCTTGGGAGAGGGTCAGTCTTTTTGTTTTATTCAGGCCTCTAGCTGATTGGATGATTGCACAGGGCAACCTGCTTTACTTAATTTGCTGATTTCAATGCTAATCTCATCCAAAAACACCCTCATGGAAATACCCAGAATAATATTTGGCCAAATATCTGGAGACTCCATGGCCCGGTCAAGTTGACACTCAAAATTAACCATCATAGCAGTCACATGAGTTTGGGAGATTCTTGTAAACCATGGCCCTGTCTTCGGCCTTCCAGGGCATTTTAGTGTAGTAAAGGTTCTGAGAATGCAGTCAAGAAACCTATTTGACTTGTTCACTCAAGTGTTTTCCTTATTTATTTGGCCATGGTACTTTGTGGGGACTGGGGAGGAGGGAAGGAGGGAAGGGCCATGATGCCTGTTGAATCCCATGACTCTGGGAACTATCCATTGGGAAACACCACCCTGGAGATGTAACATTAGAAAGACACTGCTGTGCCAGCTGCAAGAAAGCGGTCTGTCCATGACTGGGGCTGTGGTGCATTTTGAGGCTTCCAGGCACTGTCATGGTCAAGCTGCATCCCAAAGTGAAAGGACTCAAGAGAGAACTTTCTGGGAATTCTTTCTTTCTTTTCTTTTCTTTTTTTGAAATGCGGGTCTCGCTATGTTGCCCAGGCTGGCCTCGAACTCCTGGCCTCAAGCTACCCTCCTGCCTCAGCCTCCTAAGTAGCTGGGACTACAGGCATGACATCCCACTCAGCTCTGGGAATTCTTTCTTTTTCTTTCTTTTTTTCTTTTTCCTGGAGACAGGGTCTTGCTCTGTCACCTAGGCTGGAGGGCTGGAGTCCAGTGATGTGGCCACAGGCATACACCATCACACCTGGCTAACTTTTGTGTTTTTTGTAGAGACAGGGTCTCCCCATATTGGCCAGGCAGCTTTCAAACTCCTGGGCTCAAGCAATCTTCCTGCCTTGGCTTCCCAAAGTGCTGGAATTACAGGTGTAAGCCACCACACCCAGCCAGAATTTGTAATTCAGCTGCACTTAGAGGGTGTTTACTTGGTACTGGCTGAGTGCTAAGTGCTTTGTATGCATGATCTCATTTAATCTTTTCAACCACTTTTTGCATTAGGAACTAGTGTCTCATTTTACAGATAAAGAAATACGCACAGAGTTGTGTGACTTTCTCACAAGTGGGAAATCAGGATTTGAACCTAGTCCTGTCTGACTCTAGAACAATGCCCTTAACCACTCTACCCTGATTCCCACTGTGTGGCTGGGAAATCTATAGGCAAAAACAAAACAGAGGCCTCACCAGGCATGTGGTTTGAAATCAAACAGTTTATCTGAAAGTCCTTAACTGATAGGATGCCTTTTGATGGCAAAAGGGAAAATGAAGAGATGAGGGAATGGGAGGAAGTATAATACTGTTAGGGAAGACAGACTTTGCATGAGGGTAAGATGTGGTCATGTCGAAGAGGGAAAGGCAGAGCATAGCTCAGGGTGTTCTGAGCCATCATCTGCCTTGTTGGTGACAGAGAGACCCTGCTCAGCTCTACATTTCCTTGCTGCACGAGGCCCCGGTGCCCTCAGAGGTGGTCCCTGAGAGTGCCAGAGAGGTGGAGGTGGTGACAGGTGGTAAGACCCTGCTGAGCAGGACCATCTTTTTTTTTTTGAGACAGAGTTTCACTCTTGTTGCCCAGGCTGGAGTGCAATGGCACAATCTCAGTTCACTGCAACCTCCGCCTCCTGGGTTCAAACGATTCTCCTGCCTCAGCCTCCTGGGATTACAGGCACCCTCCACCACGCCCGGCTAATTTTTGTAGTTTTAGTAGAGATGGGGTTTCACCACGTTGGCCAGGCTGGTCCCGAACTCCTGACTTCAGGTGATCCACCCACCTCGGCCTCCCAAAGTGCTGGGATTACAGGCGTGAGCCACCATGCCCGGCTGGGAGCAGGACCTTCTTGTGCTCCAATCATTGGTGTGACTTGGACAAGTCTACATACTCTCAAATATCTGGTGTGCTTTCTGTCTATCTGCTGTGCAAACAAGGTTGTTGCATCCTATTTTTGCATTAGGGTGTTCCAGAAAGGAAGAGTCTCATGTGTATGTGTGTGTGTGTGCGCGCGTGCGTGTGTCTTCAGCAACCAGTACTCACCAGGGACCTAGCCATAGGAGTGCCCACAAACAGTGTGTCTGCATATGTGTGTGTAGATACATACCACACATAAATGTATTCCTGTATCACAAAGTACTTTTAAATTCTTTATATATATTATTTATATAATATTATATAATATAATTAATTATCTGTCTCTCCCACCAGAATAAAAGTTTCCTGAGGTCAAGGACTTCCTTTTCCCTGCCAAAATGGTGTCCAGAACTTTGAGGTATCTAATAAATATTGTGAATGAATGAATGGCCAGACCATGGGCTGTGATCTCTTAGCTAATGTCCTAGAATTTACACCTTCAGCAGAGCCCCTTGGGAAATGGCAGTCAGCGTTGCAGCCACCTTCACCTCTTCCTCCACCGTCTCCTCTTCCTTTATTGTTTCTGCCTCCTTTTCTCCCTCCCCTTCCCAGTGCTTAGAATCGTCTCTGGCAACAGCTCCAGCCCAGCCTTTTGAAAATACACTTAATGATGGTTTTGACTTTTTTTCTAAAAGCAACAAAATCATTTGGAACCAAGAAGATTAGCTGTTTTTTTGGCCACTGAGGTCCTTAACTCAGAGATGATAAATAGGGCACGGTAATCAGATCAGTATTTTGTTGTGGGCAGTAAACTATCTCTAATGGTCATTCCCCTTATAGAGGAGGGCTCAGTATGAAAGAACAGGGACAGAGAGACCCAGGAAGCCCCTCAGAAGGGGACAGACCCAGCTGGATGTTGACATTCTGGTTGCATCGTTTTCTAAAGCAATTTCCTGAGTTTTTGCCCTCCTGTGTGTATTTACATAGACACGAACTTTAAGCCTGACACCTCAGAAGCTGTTTGGGAAGGATGGGCTCGCAGATTTTGTTTTTGTCTTTGTTTGTTTGATTGTTTTTTAGATAGGGCCTCTCTCTGTCACTGAGGCTGGAGTGCAGTGGCGTGATCAGAGCTCACTGCAGACTTGAAACTCCTCGGCTGAGGCAATCCTCCCACCTCAGCCTCCCAAGTAGCTGGGACTACAGGCACACACCACTGCACCACTACCACTACACCCGGCTAATTTTTTTTTTGTAGAGACAGGTTCTTGCTGTGTTGGCCAGGCTGGTCTCAAACTCCTGCCCTCTAGCAATACGCCTGCTTCGGCCTCCCAAACTGCTGGGGTTACAGGTGTGAGCCACTGTGCCCATCTGGTTCCCAGAACTGAAGAAGGCCTGGAACCTAGAGGGCAGATGAACCGATAATGGGAGTGTTTCCTTGTAAGTTGCCTTGGGAAGTAGTGTGGGTGGTTTATCTTGGGCATTTAAGTCCATGAGCATGATCAGAAGAGGTAGAATGCTTCCAGGGGGCTTGTTGGTGAGACCTCAGGAAAATGGACAAAGGAAAAGACAGAAGGAAAATGGACAAAGCTCGGGATTTGCACATGGCCTGCTGTAGCCAAACTACCCTTAGGATTTAGCCCTTCTCCCTGCCAAGCCTCTCTGAGGTCGCGCCACTGCACTCCAGCCTGGCAACAGAGCGAGACTCTGTCTCAAAAAAAAAAAGGTGTGGTGGCATGCACCTGTAGTCTTAGCTACTAGGAAGGCTGAGGCAAGAGTCACTTGAGCCAAGGAATATGAGGCTCAGGAGTTTCAGGTTACAGTGAGCTATGATTGTGCCGCGTCACTCCAGCCTGGGTGACAGAGTGAGACCCTGTCTCAGAAAAAGGGAAAGAAAATCTAACCTATAAATTATTTTCTAACATAATGAAATGTTTACGAATATACCATTAATGAAGCAAGTTGACATTAGGTTGTGCTTTGTGGACATTTAATTACACATTTAAACATTTTGATCTTGCATTTTTCCTTTTCATATTTGGGGATTAAAAATGTATTTGCATATTTCAAGCATGTTGAAGGTCTTTGGAAAAACTCAAAGGCCAGAAGCTCTGTGCCTACAGGGCTGAGTGGACAAACCGCCCCTGCTCCGGCCCTAAGAAATTACAGAGTAAGGAAGAGGCAAGGGAGGACACTGGAGAAAAATGAAGCATTGACTGGAGATGTCTCTGAGGGTCTCTGAGGGTGGGAGGTGGGGTTGGGGCTGGGAGTTAGGGCTTGGTTCTCAATGGTTTTCTGATATCTAGTTCATTTAATCCCCATTGCCTGGGGAGCTCTTCCCCTAACTCTCCAGATACCCATTAGCTCCCTTCCTCTCTTCATTAAAGATTCTACTCAAATGTCACATTGGTTAAAACAGTGCCCCGGCTGGGTGCAGTGGCTCACACCTGTAATCCCAGCACTTTGGGAGACTGAGGCAGGTGGATCACGAGGTCAGGAGTTAGAGACCAGCCTAGACAACATAGTGAAACCCCGTCTCTACTAAAAATACAAAAAACTAGCCAGGTATGATGGCAGGCACCTGTAATCCCAGCTACTTGGGAGGCTGAAGCAGGAGAATTGCTTGAACCCAGAGGCAGAGGTTGCGGTGAGCCAAGATCATGCCATTGCACTCCAGCCTGGGCAACAAGAGCAAGACTTCGTCAAAAAACAAACAAACAAACAAACAAAAAACCAGTGCCCCATCCTTGCCCATCCTTGTCTAACACAAGATGTAGTGCTAAGAAGCCATTAATGCCATGTGGACAAATAAACAGACTAATTGGGTAGGGAGAGTCCTCTGTTATTGATTAGTCTGTTTACTTGTGCGTGCTCTGTCTTGATCCGCCTCCTGCGGGCAGGGAATGTGTTGTATTCACCAGTGTCTGGCACCTAAAGGCTCCACAATAAATGCGTGGTTGTTGGCACAATGAATGAACAAATGAATAAATGAATCTTGGCCCTCCCTGCCTCCAGTGGCTGTTGGGAGAATCAGGTGAGAGAAAATGCAGTCTTCAAAGGATAAGCTGATGTGCCGTCGGCCCCAGGAGTCACAGCACATTTTCTCTTTCTAGGAGTCCTTAAAATGCAGGCAGAAGCTCATCCTCAGAAATTCTGAGTCAGTCGGTTGGGGGCAGAGACCAGCGATCTGAATTTAACAAACTCTTTGGGTGATACTGATGCTGCTGGTCATCAGCCTATGCTGGGAGGAGACTTTGCTGACAACTAGCTGTCACTTTTTAGTCATTTTGCTGAGCGGGACACAAATGTAGAGCCACAATGCAATGTGACCCTAGAGCCCATGGTTCCAGAGTCGGGGGTTGCCCCTCTCCATGTTTGAGGGCCGAAGAGCCTGCATCGAGCAGAGCCACCAGGCTAAATCCTCTGACCTTGACTTTGGTTTAGGGACCAGAGTCTGGTATCTAAGTGCGATCTTACTCTAGCTTTCCCATCTGTTCTGTTTAGGCCAGAGGTGATCCAGTGATTTGGGAGCTGCAGGTCACACAGGCTGCTCAGAGGGTAAGTTGGGTCCAGTCGGGCCAGCAGGGCCACATGGCCGATTCACACTCAGTCCAAAACCCTCGTGGCTGAGCATTGATGCAGACCATGCTGTCTTGTGGGAGTGGTCTGGGTGCCTCTAGGAGGGCAGAAATACCACATTACTGCCTGGTGACCTTGGAAAGGGGGACAGAGGTGCTGGCACTGGGATGCTGAGCAGCCAAAGCCAGTGAGACCCACGTGGAGGGAGGCAGCTAGCTTGCTTGCTTCCTGAAAGCCAGACAGAGCCTCTCAGCCTAATTTGCTTGTGCCAGGCAGCCTGTGAATTCTTATAGCCAAACCACCTGGTGGGTGACTGTTGACACGGGACTGCCGGGTCCTGGCAGCCCAGCCCTAGCACAGACACCAGGCAGCACACAGACCTCAGGTCACATAGGCACTGGCCAGTCTTTGAGGACACAGTGTCTGGCTCCAGTTATTTCTACCTGCAGTACAGTCTCGGGGCCCTGAGTCAACAGGCGGGTTTGAGAGGACTTCAGGTCTTGGCCCCAAAAAAGTGCACATGACCAGGTTCACGGTCACCTCAGGCTATCTGGCCCCACTCATTGATTCATGCTTATGTTCATTCTACAGAAATTATTCAGCACCTTCTACGAAGACACAAAGAAGGAAAGGAGTTCCCATCTGTCCTTAAAGAACTTAACTGTTAAATGATGTCCCAGGCTGGGCTCAGTGGCTCACGCCTGTAATCCCAACATCTTGGGAGGCCGAGGCAAAAGGGTCACTTGAGCCCAGGAGTTTGAGACCAGCCTAAGCAACATGGCAAGACTCTGTCTCTACAAAAAATTTTTAAAAATTAACCAGGTGCAGGTGCATGGGGGTGCATGCCTGTGGTCCCAGCTCCTCCGGAGGCTAAGGTGGTGGGGCGATTGCTTGAGCCTGGGAGGTCAAGGCTGCAGTGAACCAAGATCACACCACTGCACTCCAGCCTGGGTGACAGAGTGAGACCCTGTCTCAAAAAAAAAAAAAAAAAAAAAAAAAAAGATAAGCACTACATAGAGCAGTGGGCAGCCCCCAAATGCATAGAGCTGGCATGCAGCAGGCACTCAGTAAATCTTGGTTGAATGAGCAAGGTGCTGGAGGAGCTAGGAGGAGAGAGTGAGAAACTGGCCAGGGAAAGCTCCTGCATGAAGGAAAAGGAAAAGGCATTCTACATGAAAGGTGTGAATGTTACAAAATATATGAGGAGTAATGTGGCCATGTGGAGAAGTAAGAGCTCACTTCCATTGAGCGCTTCATTTCAACCAGGCATTGTTCTGAACATATTACACATATCATCTCTTTAACCTTTGAGATAGGGCCTATTGTTGTCACTCCCATTTTATAATTGCACAGCCTGAGGCCCAGAGAGGCTGAGCTTAAGGCCATGCAGGTAGTGAGTGGCAGAGTCAGGTGTTAATCCACTCACCAATGGGCACTTAACCCAACCTGAGCCTCCACTTCTCCATCTGTAAAATGGGAACGCCCAGGCTTCCCCTGACAGTTTCTTGGACAGATTAAGAAAGCTGTGCATGAGTGCACATGGAATGTCTGTGAAAAAGTTACAAGATTCACAGAAAACTTGCTAACAATGGTTACCTTTGGGGAGGCTGCCTAGAGGACCAAGGATTAGAGAAAGTATGTATCAGTTTTTGGATCTCTTTTTGGGCCTCCAGCGGGTGAAAGTTAAAATGACAAGCAGCCTAAATGGGAAGGAGTTGGAGGGTGGGTTAAGTTTGAAAGGAGAAAGAGCAGTTGAGGCTGGAGAAAGGATGTTATTTGACTGTAGCGAACACTCTGCCTGCACCCCCCAGTCCCTCTCTCTTTGAGGGGAAGGATGCCGTGGCGACGGTCTTCCTCCTTAATATAGTATGTACATTTTATCTCTGCAGACTTCTTGCAGACTTGGTTTAAAGATCTCAGCTCAATACCATTAGTGTATATCTGCAGAGGGCCCTTTGTAAAATTGATTAGAAAGTGGGCTTTTGCATGTGGGGTGGGGGCGGGGGTGGGACCTAATCGGATTTGAGCATGAGATGGTATCTAATTCCCTGCATCTAGCAACTGGCTTGGGGACCTCCCTGGGAGCCAGGGCCCCCCTAATTTGGTTTGCAAATACATTAGCCAAACAAGCTGAGGGGGCTCCTTTGGGGAGAGGGTTTTTGGGGGATGGGGATGGGAGATGGTGGGAAGGCTGAGGAAATGAAGAAGGGAAGGGTTTTCTGTGCAGGTCCTGGAGTATAAACCGTACATGCGATTGCCAAGGCTGTGCATGTCTCATGGTTTTACCCCATTCGGGAGAATGAAGCAAACTTCTAAGAGGACCAGGCTGGGCCTGGTGGCTCAGTCCTGTAATGCCAGCACTTTGAGAGGCTGAGGGGGGTGGATCACCTGAGGTCAGGAGTTTGAGACCACCCTGGCCAACATGGTGAAACTCCGTCTCTACTAAAAATACAAAAACTAGCCAGGCATGGTGGCACACGCCTGTATTCCCAGCTACTCAGGAGGCTGAGGCAGGAGAATCACTTGAATCCAAGAGGTGGAGGTTGCAGTGAGCTGAGTTCATGCCACTGCACTCCAGCCTGGGCGACAGAGCAAGACAGGTCTCAAAACAAACAAACAAACAAACAAAGACTTGGTGTATTGCTTACCATTTTTGAGCCATTATATATACATTTTGTTTCATTTTTTCAGTCTTTTAAAAAAAAGTAATACATTCACATGTGTAACAAAAATGTCAAACACTATGAGAGTGCAGGCAGTGACTGGTAGGGTATTTTTCCTCCCCTAATCCTTGGTCCCCTAGACAGAATCCCTAAAAGTAGCCACAGTTACCAAGTTTTCTGTGAACCTTACAATATTTTCAAAAATTGTCCATGTGCACTCATACACAGCTTTCTTAATCCCTCCAAGAAACCTGCAGAGGAAACTTGGTGTTCCCATTTTACAGATGGAGAATGGAGGCACAGGTTGGTTAAGTGCCCACTGGTGAAGGGCCAGGATCCAAATTGTGAATGATCTGGTGGTCTGGCTTTATATCCTGGGGTCTTTCTGTGAAATCATATGCTCTCTTATGTGCCTTTCCCAGAAAGAGAGGGGGCTGTTCAGAGCTATAAACACAGCAAATATTTGAGTTTTTACTTCTCCAACTCTTTTCTTCTTATTTTTTTTTATTTTTTTATTTTTTGAGACAGAGTCTCTCTCTGTCACCCAGACTGGAGGGCAGTGGTGCAATCTCAGCTCACTGCAACCTCCCCCTTCTGGGTTCAAGTGATTCTTGTGCCTCAGCCTCCCGAGTAGCTGAGATTACAGGCAAGTGCCACCAAGCCCGGCTAATTTTTGTATTTTTCGCAGAGACGGGGTTTTGCCTTGTTGACCAGTCTGGTCTTGAACTCCTGATCTCAGGTGATCTGCCTGCTTCAGCCTCCCAAAGTGCTGGGATTACAGGCAAGAGCCACCGCGCCTGGCCCATTCATTTCTTCTTGGGTCCATCCATATGCTATCGTTTTGTCCACTTATACCCAAGCATCCTAAAAACAGGATGCAAGGCTGGGCATGGTGGCTCACGCCTGTAATCAATCCCAGCACTATGGAAGGCCAAGGCAGGCAGATCACCTGAGGTCAGGAGTTCAAGACCAGCCTGATCAACATGGTGAAACCCCATCTCTACTAAAAATACAAAAATTAGCCGGGCATGGTGGCGGGCACCTGTAATCCCAGCTACTCGGGAGGCCGAGGCAGGAGAATCACTTGAATCTGGGAGAAAGAGGATGCAGTGAGCTGAGATTGCGCCACCGAACTCCAGCCTGGACAACAAAGCAAGACTCCATCTTCCAAAAAAAAAACAGGAGGTGAACTTGCAAGGGCATCTTTACTACGGTCTCCTTCAGTTCAGTACCCCTTTATGAGAGTGAGGGGTGGAGTGTGTTGAGTGAATCCTCGCCTGCTTTATCTGGATCTTGAGTTCTGCCCACTTCCTACTAGACACTGTGTGTGTTGCAGGAAGGAGGATGCTGGTGGCAGCACGTGCTGCAAATTGTGTGGCAGCATCCAGCTTCATAACAGATAATCACAGTATCAACCTCGGAGGGTTCTTTGGAGGGTGGAATAATACCATGGCATGGTACCTGGTACATGGTAATCTCTCAATAAATATTAGTGATTAGTAGTATCACTAGCTAGAGAAGCTTTCGTACATTGCTCATCTGCTCTGTGCAATTTGCCTCAACTATAAGAATAGTATTATTCTGTTATCATCACACTATTATTTAATATTTAATATTTTTAAACAATCTGTGTAATAAGCTGGTATCATTTTAAATACAATTAGCATAGTGTCAGGTATACAAAAGATGCTCAATAAATATGATTTCCCATTTTATTCCCGTCTCTTTACCAGTTTTAAATCAAGATCTTGATTCTTCTTTATCCTTGTTGTGAATCTAATTTCTGTAAAGTGAGTCCATTTGTATTCCCACTCACATTTATTGAGAACCTGCTGTTTACCTGGCATTCTGCTCTGTGCTGCGGGGCACACAAAGAAGAACAGACCTCGGACTCCGCCCTCACAGGACGAAAAATCAAATCAGGAAGACTGAGAACAGAGGCATCAATTGCAGCCCAAGCTGTTCGCAGGGTTTGGGGCATGCTCCTGGGGTACAGGAATAGATGGAGTGGCTTCATGTTCTTCAGTACCTCAGTTTCCCCTTCTGAGGAGTGGAGGTAGTTCCCTTTCTTGTTTCTTGGTATTTGGAAGATGTGGAACAACCTGGCTGATGTGGTTTCAGTCTTGTGGGAACCAGTGGGCTGAGCCCCTTTCTTTACCCCTCTACCTCTCCCTCACCACCAAGTACCCTATACCTCTCTCCCACCCTACCCTGGCTGGAAGCTGCTCCTCCACTGGGCTGTCGACCTGGGAGCCTCCATCCTCCTCCTCCTTGCAAACCACACCTTTTCACCAGATCGTCATGCCAACCCCATCCTCCCCCAACAAAGAAGGTTTTGAAGGGACCAGAATACCTCAGCTTTGGATGCTGTACTATAAAATCCAGAATTATATAACTGCTGGATTATGGAGTGATTATTAGCTTTGCTGAAAGATTTTCCATTTACATAAGGATTAGCTGCGGGGTTCCTTTAAATAGCTGGCTTTGCTAATGCATTTGTATTGCAAAGAAAGGTGGGTGGGGGAAATAAGGACAGGATTGTGAAGCAGAAGGCCCGAGTTGCAGTGGCTCAGGCCTCTAATCCAAATGACTCAGGAGGCCGGGGCAGGAGGATCACTTGAACCCAGGAGTTCAACACCAGTCTGGGCAACATAGGGAGACCCTATCTCTACAATAAATTAAATTAAATTAACTAGGGATGGTGGCTTGTGCCTTTAGAAAAATAAAGAAAAGAAGGCTCGAGTTCTAAGCCAGCTGAGTAACTGGTCATTTTACCTCTTGAAGCCTTGGGTTTCTTTGATGAGGAAAGTGAGCGGTGACCACCCTACCCAGACCCAGCATTGCAGGAGAGGACTGTGCAGGCAGTTTGCAAAGAGCTGGGCGCAGGCAGTCAGGTGAGGCAAAGCTGCACCGCAGTGCTGTTGGTGTGATGAGCCTGCCCCTCAAAGGGTGATGTCGAAACCCCTGGTGTTGAATCTTCTAGCTGGCCTCTGCCCACCTGTCCATGCTGGTCTCCTGACAGACCCCCACCTGGCTTCTTCCTGTGCCCCGGCCCCGGCCACACACCTGTGTCCCGGACTTCCCACACCAACTCCAGTTCCTTGGCTGTATACTGCTGTTCCCTATCTCTGTGACTTGCACATACTGGTCCCAGTGCCCAGAATGCCATTCCCCACCCTCTTCCCTTCTTGGCCTGGCAAACACCTACTTGTCCTTCAAGACGTAGGCTAAACTTCTCCTCCAGGAAGCCTTCCCTGACTACCTTACACTAAGGAGGGTTAGACACTCCTCTGCACTCGCAGGTCCCATGAATGTGTGTGTGACCCTATCGTATTGCTTTGAGATCCTTCATTGTCCAGTGACTTTATGGTCATTGATCACTTATTTGTATCTGCCATGAGCTACTGAGCTTAGGGGCAGGGTCCCTGTTGTGTTTGACTCAGTAGATGTGTAGTAAATGAAATAAGTAAGCGAATAGTAACAACTTCTCATGTGCAGCAGGTGTTTCATCCCCAGCCACATGCAGCAGAGGCGGCCCCCGCACCGTCCCCCACCCCGTACCATCCTCACCCCTGCACCATCCCCACCCCTGCACCGTCCCCCGCCCCTGCACCGTCCCCTGCCCCTGCACCGTCTCCCGCCCCTGCACCGTCCGCCGCCCCTGCACCATCCCTCGCCCCTGCACCGTCCCCGCCCCTGCACCGTCCGCCGCCCCTGCACCGTCCGCCGCCCCTGCACCGTCCCCGCCCCTGCACCGTCCCCTGCCCCTGCACGGTCCCCGCCCCTGCACCGTCCGCCGCCCCTGCACCATCCCTCGCCCCTGCACCGTCCCCGCCCCTGCACCGTCTCCCGCCCCTGCACCGTCTCCCGCCCCTGCACCGTCCCCCCCGCCCCTGCAACGTCCCCCCGCCCCTGCAGCGTCCCCCCGCCCCTGCATACTGCATGCCCTGAAGCACAAAAACCCTGGTGTTAGACCACAGGGGTTCAAATAAATCCTGGCTCCACCCCAGCTGTGACCTTAACCAAATTATTTTGCTCCCGAGTTTCTTCATCTATAAAACAAGATCATAATAGTTCTGACCCCTTAGGGTTGCTGTGAATAGGAAGTGAGTTAATCTGTGTTCGGTACTTAGAGCAGTGCCTGGGCGCAGTACCTTCTGCGTCTGATGGCGGTTTTCATTTCGGAGGGCCCTGAGTTGTGCCCCTGTGGTTCCTCCCCAGCTCAGTCCCCTGTGTTGCTGAGCTTGCAGTCTCTGCCTCTTTACTTTCTTCGCTTGCTCTAGTGACCTGTCTCAGATCCCCACTCCCCCAACCAGTCAGCACAGAAATAATCAAATTTTACTTGATTATTAGTCATTACTTTCTGCTGCTGTTTTTGTTTGTTCCTTAAAAAAAAAAAAAAAAAAAAAAAAACTATTCTAGATTTAATTGAGTTGATTGATTAGCACAATCGCTGATTGGAAGGAGATACTCTGTAACCCTCTCCTCCTCCGGTGCCTTTTCCCAGAGAGGCACCAGGTGGACTGCCCGTGGCCTGGAGGTGCAGTGGCTTGTGGTGGCTGTGTGGGCTGGGAGCCTGGTCCTCCCAGGCCTAGTGACCTGAGGCAAGTCCCCGGCCCTCTCAGGGCCTCATCTGTAAGAAGGGGATTGAAGTAAATGAGCCTCTGAATCCCCTCACTTTTAAATTCTATGAAAACTCTACACCTGAGTGCCCCCAGCCTTGGTTTGTGAGTCGCCCATCCATTCAATATCACAGCTACCTCTGGGCCAGCACTTCTCAGGGTGCTGTGGGGACCCAGACGTGAGCAAGTCAAGAGCCCTGCCCTCTAGGAGCTAGTGGGGTGGGGTTGGGGACTGGCAAGACGCTAACTCCAGCATTTTTAACTTAGTGTGTTCCAAGCTCAGTGGAGTTTCAGAGGGGAATGCCTAATTCGAACAGTTGTAGAGGGGTGACATTTGGATTCAGTCCAAGACAAAATACCTTGTACAAACTTTAGGGGTGTGGAGAGTGAACTTTATAGAAGCCACCTCTATGTGCTGAGTACAGTGGTAAGCACTTAAATTGTTTTAAAACTTTTTATATCAAATAGAGATAGGATGGCCGGGCACAGTGGCTCACTCCTGCAATCCCAGCACTTTGGGAGGCCGAGACGGGCAGATCACGAGGTCAGGAGTTTGAGACCAGCCTGGCCAACGTGGTAAAACCCTGTCTCTACTAAAAATACAAAAATTAGCCAGGCGTGGTGGTTTGCACCTGTAATCCCAGCTACTCAGGAGGCTGAGACAGAAGAATCACTTGAACCCGGAAGGTGGAGTTTACAGTGAGCTGAGATCATGCTACTGCACTCCAGACTGGGCGAAAGAGTGAGACTCTATCTCAAAAATCAATAAAAAATTAGTAAATAAATAGAGATGGGGGTCTCACTGTATTGCCCAGGCTGGTCTCAAACTCTTGGGCTCAAATGGTGCTCCTGTTTCAGCCTCCCAAAGTGCCGGGATTACAGGCATGAGCCACTGCGCCTGATAAGCACTTTCTTTTCATTTTCTTTTTAATCCCCACAGCAACACTCTAAGTAAAAGGATATGATATCACTTTTATAGACAAAACACCCAAAGCTCAGAGAGGATAAGTGGCTTGCCTACAGTCAACAGCAAGCGAGGGAGAAGTAGACTTTGAATGATGTCAAACCTTATCCTCTTTACACAGTTTCATACCATATTACAGTATTAAATAATTTGAAGGTAAAATAATCAGCTAATTTCCCAAATGTCACTTCTATGTCCATTTTGGAACATGATCTTCCATACATACCCTTTTTACATTACATAATTAGAGTGATGTACCATTTTCCCTTTTTTTTTTTTTTTTTTTGAGACATGGTCTTGGCTCTGTCACACAGGCTAGAGTGCAGTGGTGTGATCATAGCTCACTGCAACCTCTTGGCTCCTGGGATCAAGGGATCCTCCTGCCTCAGCCCTCCAAGTAGCTGGGCTATAGGCGCCCACCACCACACCCAGCTAATTTTGTATTTTTGTAGAGATGGGTTTTTGCCATGTTGGCCAAGCTGGTCTCAAACTCCAGTTCAGACTGCCTTTGTCTCCCAAAGTGCTGGGATTACAGGCATGAACCTGCGCCCCGCCTCTATTTTTTTACTTATAGCATTTTTTCCCCCCGTCTCTGCTTTTTTGTTCTTTTCTCTTTTTTTGAGATGGAGTGTCACTCTTGTCGCCCGGGCTAGAGTGCAATGGCGTGATCGTGGTTCACTGCAACCTCCACCTTCTGGGTTCAAGCAATTCTCCTGCCCCAGCCTCCTGAGTAGCTAGGATTACAGATACCCACCACCACACCTGGCTAATTTTGTATTTTTAGTAGAGATGGTGTTTCACCATGTTGGCCAGGCTGGTCTCGAACTCCTGACCTCAGGTGATCCACCCGCCTCGGCCTCCCAAAGTGCTGGGATTTCAGGTGTGAGCCACTATTCCTGGCCCATCTCTGGGTTTTGTTCATTGACTCATATATTTACCGAGCACCTACTATGTGTCTTGATTCTGAGATAAAACAATTAGTCCAAGACCCTGCCTTCAGGGAACTTAACCTTAGGTGGACAGATGATAAACGGAGAAGCAATAAAACAAATAATAGAATGTCAGATATTAAGAATGGCTGTGAAGAAAGTAAAGCAGGATAAGATGTAGAGTATATGAAATTAGCCGGGCATGGTGGCGGGCACCTGTAATCCCAGCTGCTCAGGAGGCTGAGACAGGAGAATCGCTTGAACCCAGAAGGCGGAGGCTGCAGTGAGCTGAGATCATGCCACAACAATCCAAGCTGGCCAATAGAGTGAGACTCCATCTCAAAAACAAAAAAAGAAAGAAAGAAAAAGATGTAGAGTATCGATAGGGGTCAGGGTGTCTTCCCTGAAACGTGACATCTCAGCAGAGACCTGACTAATGATGAGGTGAGCTGTGTGGGTATCTGGGTACTCCAGGTAGGGGGAGCAGTCAGTGCAAAGGCCCTGGGATGGTGATGACCTTGGCACACTTGGGGAAGAGCAGGAGACCAGTGTGGGTGGAATGTGGGAAGGTGGGATGTGAAGTTGGAAAGGTGGCTGGGGTCAGGTCACAGGCTTTGCAGGCCATGGAAGAGACTGGCTTTTGTTCCTAGTGTGTTTCTCTGGTGTCTTCTAGTTCCCATTATTCCACAATTCAACCCAGTGGATGTGGTGTTATTAATCAACATCAATGTTGTTTCCTGCAGCGTCTGTGTGTGCCTGTGTGCGTGCATATGTGTGTGTTTGCAGCGAACACGCATTTCAAGCATATTTCAAGCATGTGACTTTTGACTATGTTGGGGTAATTCTGTAGCAGCGAAATAACTGGTTGGAAGTGTTTGCTCATCTTTTTGGCTCTTGACAGGTAAAACTATAGTGTGACTTCTGGTGACAAGAGCTGAAGGCATGGCAGGCAGTGGATCTGTGGTGCAAAGGTGCAGAGGCAGAAAGAACAAGCCTTCCCAGAGGCCCGAGGCATCACACAGGTAGTCCCTGGCCATAAGGGAGGAGCCACTGGAGAAGCAGGTGCCTCGTGAGGACAGGTGGGCGGTGGGCCAAGTGAGCGCCTCCTCTCTCCTCCAAGAGGCAGAGCCAGGTGGGGCTTTTACATACTTTTTTTTTTTTTTTTTTTTTTTTGGTGGGGGATGGAGTCTGGCTCTGTCACCCAGGCTGGAGTGCAGAGACACAATCTTGGCCCACTGCAACCTCTGCCTCCCAGGTTCAAGTGATTCTCCTGCCTCAGCTTCCTGATTAGCTGGGATTACAGACGCCCGCCACCATGCGTGGCTAATTTTTGTATTTTTAGTAAGACAGGGTTTCACCATGTTTGTCAGGCTGGTCTTGAACCCCTGACCTCAGGTGATCCACCCACCTCAACCTCCCAAAGTGCTGAGATTACAGGCGTGAGCCACTGCGCCTGACCTTTTTCCACTTTTGAAAAAGCTTTTTAATGAAATTGTTTTTTGGCTTTACAGAAAAATTGCCAAGATAGTGCAGAGGACTCCTGTATAACCCTTATCTGGTTTTCACTTTTGTTAGCTTCCTATGTTACCATGATAGATTTGTCACAACTAAGAAACTTACCTTGGTACATTACTATGAACTAACCTCCATACTTTATTGAGATTTCATTTATTTTTCCATTGATGTCCTTTTTCTCTTCCAGGATCCCATGCAGAATCCCACACTGCATTTAATTGTCATGTCTGTTTAGTCTCCCCTTGTCTGTGACAGTTTCTCAGACTTTCCATAATTTTCATAACCTTGACAGTTTTTGTTTGATTGTTTGTTTGCTTGTTTTGAGATGGAGTCTTGCTCTGTTGCCCAGGCTGGAGTGCAGTGGAGCGATCTCGGCTCACTATAACCTCCCACCTCCTGGGTTCAAGTGATTCTCGTGCCTCAGCCTCCCTAGTAGCTAGGATTACGGGTGCCTGCCACCATGCCTGGCTAATTTTTCTATTTTTAGTAGAAACAGTGTTTTGCCATGTTGGCCAGGCTGGTCTCAAACTCCTGGCCTCAAGTGATCCGCCCACCTTGGCCTCCAAACTAACTGCTGGAATTACAGGTGTGAGCCACCGCATCCAGCCTAACCTTGAGAGTTTTTAGAAGTGCTGGCCAGGTACTTTGCTTTTCCATTTTTCAACTATCTATTTTTATCTGGAATCATGATGTTGAGAGCCTGTAAACTTTTTTTTTTTTTTGAGACGAGGTTTCACTCTGTCACCCTGCCTGGAGTGCGATGGCACGATCTCGGCTCACTACAACCTTCGCCTCTCAGGTTCAAACGATTCTCCTGTGTCAGCCTCCTGAGTAGCTGGGACTATGGGCATGTGCCACTGTGCCTGGCTAATTTTTACATTTTTAGTAGAGATGGGGTTTCGCCATGTTGGCCAGGCTGATCTCGAACTCCTGACCTCAGGTGATCTTCCTGCCTCGGTCTCCCAAACTGCTGGGATTACAGGAGTGAGCCACCGCACACGGCTGAGAGTCTGCAAAATGTTGAGATCGAGCTTCGAACTCAGGAATCAAGGGTGGGGGACACGGTGCTGGGTTCAGTCCTGGCCTTGCCCCCTACCCACTAAGTGACATTGAACAAGGAAATCTTCCATGCTTCATTCTTATCCTGGGGGTGAGAATATTCACCCCCGAGCCTCATGAGGGTTAGCTGGGATAAGACATGGAAATTCTCATGAACTTGGGGTTCCTTCTCAGTTTCATTGCTGGGTAAGCCCCTGGTGAGACTGATTACCCTGAAGACATTCACTTCCTCTCACAGGAGCTGGGGCTGTGAAATGCCAGAGTGAGGATGGCGGGGAGGTTGTGACAACTTGGCAGGAAGCACTTTGAAGGTCGTATTCTATATTGATCCTCACAATAACTCCATGAGTTATGGTAGTAAAATGGGTTACTGTAGGCTCATAGAAGGTCAAGAACCTGCTGAAGGTCATGGAGGAAAGAAGGGCAAAGTCAAGACTTGCACATGGGCCATGAGACCCTGTGCCCCTTCCAGTTTAGGCTGGCCTGAGCTGCCCGGCAGAGGGGGCAGGCAGCTCTGGGGTGGATGTGGGCAGGAAAGCCCAGAGCCCTGGATCCTGGGATGGAGAGGGTCTGTCTCATGGGTCAGGAGGACTGGGGTTCGGCTAGGGGTCTGACTCACGGGGCAAGAGGCTAGAGTTATGGATTCTCAGTCTTTACACACCATATTGGTCTCAGGCCATTGCATTACAGTGAGTGTTTCATTTTGTAATGTAGACTTTTTTTCTCTAGGTAATTTCATTTTTAACCCTTGAGTTACCTGTGAAACCAGCATGAGCAAATGAGCAAAAGGCTCATGACTAGCGGGCAGCTTCCCAGGTAAATCTCAGGACCAATGGTCCAGCTTCCTGCCAGAGAGCCAACTGTCTTACCTCCTGTTTCATGTATCTTCAGGCCCCCCCAGCAGATGGTGAGGGCTCTCTGCTTTCCAGGAAGGGACAAAGAATGACTGAAGCCAGACAGGGCAAGTGGCTGTCTCTAGGACACACAGCTTCAGAGCAGACACCATATCAGTTAGTCACTGGGCTCTTTCTACCAAACATAATAAGAACTCAGAAGACACTCGTGCTATTTATTATATTTTAAAACTTGAAATGTAAACTACAAAGTTGCAGTTCCGACATTAATGGGAGAGTTGGGAGGCCACAGTTCTAAGTGCATGAGCTAATAGGTCTTCTCCTACAGGGTGTGAGTGTGTGTGTGTGTGTGTGTGTGTGTGTGTGTGTGTTTGTGTATGAGAGAGAGAGAGAGAGACAGAGAGCAACACATTTAGGTCAGTGCACTGTGAGGAACAAAGTAATTTTGGCACTTTGGCCAAATGGCCAAAAATTACCTTCAATTCAACCAAAACACACAGAGGTTGGAGGGATGGACGGTCCTTTTCAAAAAGGGGTCCCCTGGAACCGGTGGCCACCATGCCCTTTGTATCAGGGGTTCCCATTTCATCCACCTCAAAGTTTCTAAATTCAGAGCTTGCAGACCACCCTCACACACCCCACCTGTGCACATGGATGACATGGCCCTGCTGATTCCTCTGGCTCTAAATGATACCTCTTCTGCCTGTCCCCTGCAGTGAGGTGTGCCCAGGTATTCAGACCCCTGCAGTGTCTCACTGAGCACCCTAAGCACTCACCCGTCACCCTCTGGTTCCTTGGGGCCCGGTGCTGGCCTTGGAACACTGGTCCCAGTACTCAGGCAGTCCAGGAAATAGTCTGTTTGGCCTGCCAGCTGTCAGCAGCCTTGCCCCTCCTCCCAGCCTGGATCCAGCCGGAGGAGGACAGAGCCCGTTTCTCTTCTGCCCACCTTTAAAGGCTAGGCTGGCCAGGATAGGGAAGAAGTAGCCCTGTCTGGAGTCACCCCTCCAGAGATGTGTAACCCCAGAGTGGTTAAAATCCCATACATTGGCATCAGGATGGCTTAGAGGGCAAATCTTTGCCTTTCCATGTGCATGGAAGGTGTGGGGCCCACCTGACAATGTCTGGTGCCTCGATTGATTTTCCCATGTATAAATTAGGATGAAAAATCCAGAGTTATTTTGAGGAGTAAATAAGCTTATATATGTAAAGCGCTTTGCACATAGCAAGTGCTTAAAAAGAAAGGAAATGTAGTATTGTTATTCGGTTATATAATATAGCAGCATTTGTGTCTCTTTTTCTTCCAAAGAGCTTGCACATCTGTTTACTCCATGTACCCTTACAACAACCAAGTGGAGTAGGGCAGTTTTTCTTGGATCCAGTTTACTGATGCAGCAGCTAAGATGCAGTGAAGTGTAATGACATGCCCAAGGCCACTCCACAAAGCAGCAGGGGCACTGAGGTCCCTGGAGGGCACAGGCTAGGTTAGGTGTGTCCCAGTCTGGCTCACCTGCAGCCGGAATTCCTGCCTGCCACAGCTGCCCCTCCAGTCCCCCTGTCACTCTCCTCCCTCCCCTCCCTGAGAACTGCTGTCTTCCACAAGGACCCCTCACTACCCAGGGAGGGAGGGTGTGGTTGGGCGCTGGTAGGGGGTGGCTCTACCTCTTCAGCCAGTGGCAGGGCTCTGCCATTGCCAGCAGCATCTTGCAGGATGAAGGTTGCATCAGTGAGCAGTAATTGAAATGCAAAATAACATTTTGATCGAGCCAGCAGGCTGTTTATTTATCAGATCAATAGTCAAAATGCCCCGTCTGGAGAAGCTAGTGTGATAAGTGACAGTCTTGCCAAGGGCAGTCCTGGTGGCTACAGTCCCCTCCCTCAAAGGCCTGGATTAGAAAGCCAAGGAGCCTGGGAGTGACCCCTACCTCTGCTTCTCCCTTACAGAATGTGGGCACGCACACGCACAGCCCTTGCCACATTTCCTTCTTTTTTTTTTTTTTTTTTTTTTTGAGATGGAGTCTCACTCTGTTGCCAGGCTGGAGTACAGTGGCGCAATCTCAGCTCACTGCAACCTCCGCCTCCCGGGTTCAAGCGATTCTCCTGCCTCAGCCTCCCAAGTAGCTGGGACTACAGGCACGTGCCACCACACCCAGCTAATTTTTTTTGTATTTTAGTAGAGACAAGGTTTCACCATGTTGGCCAGGATGGTCTCGATCTCCTGACCTCATGATCTGCCTGCCTCGGCCTCCCAAAGTGCTGGGATTACAGGCATGAGCCACCACACCCGGCCGACATTTCCTTCTTATACTCAGTTTACAGAGGAGATGACTGAGAACTATGTGGGTAGGGACCACCCTTGCTGTGGCTGCCAGGACCTGTACCCAAGATTGCTGAGATAACAGCACATATTTTCGAGCACTTACAATGTACAGGTGCCCAATGCTTCACATTATTGGGTCATTTACTCCTCAGAATAATTCTGTGAGGTACGTATGTCTATATTACCCATTTTGCAGATGAGGAAACCAAGTCCTAGAGAGGTCAGGCAACAGTTGCACAGCGAGTCAGTGACAGGCCGGGATTCCGACACAGGCGAGCTGGGCCCAGAGCCCTCATGCCCAGGCCCTGTCAGTTCCCTCTCTCAAGGGCAGGGGGCCGTGAAACATTTTTGTTTACACAGTGGGGTTCTGGCTCTGAAGTCAAGCAACCCCTTTCCAGCCCCACTTCCCACAGTTTCTTTACGAATTACATTGATTTTGTGTTAAAATTTAGTTTTTAGCATTTTGAAAGCAGATGTCTCAATGAGTTGCTCTCAGACTAGCCTCTCTAAGTTGCCAACCCAACACATTAAGTAGCTTGGGGTACTTACAAAAAAGCAACCAAAATCAGAAAATAAGAAAAATGCATATATCTTTCATAACCTTTTTTTTTTTTTTTTTTTTTGAGAGAGTCTCACTCTGTCACCCAGGCTGGAGTATAGTGGCTCAATCTCGGCTCACTGCATCCTCTGCCTCCCGCGCTCAAGAAATTCTCACACCTCAGCCTCCTGAGTAGCTGGGATTACAGATGTGTGCCACCACACCTGGCTAATTTTTGTATTTTTAGTAGAGACAGGGTTTCACCATGTTGGCCAGGCTGGTCTCGAACTTCTGACCTCAAGTGATCTGCTCACTTTGGCTTCCCAAATTGCTGAGATTACAGGCGTGAGCCACCGCGCCATCCTTTCATAGACTCTTTAAACCAGGATGATCAGAATTCGATCGAAACTGATGGCAAGGTGGATCCTTTAAGAACTTTTGTGGGCTCCACTGGACCCCAGGGGCTCTGTGGGTTCTGCTCCTGGGGCGCTGGTGGACTCCTCTTCTCGGACCTTGATCCTGTCCTGTGACTCAGACCGGTGACTGTCACATCCTGAGGGAGTGCAGGCCTCTGGAAACTGTAATGGTTGTTTGACTGGGGTCCTCAGATCCCACCTAACCCTCCTTACTCATTCAACAAATATTTATTCTGCACCTACTGTGTGTCTATTCTAGACACTGGAGTAGGACAGGAAAGAAAACAGAAAGCCTCTGCCATCATATACGGGGAGCAAAGACCCTGAGGTGGGAGCGTGATTGGTGTAGTCAAGAACCAGCCAGGAGGCCAGTGTGGCTGGGATGGAGTGACCTGGGGGGAGAGTGGGCAGGAGATAGCATGACAGAGGTTGGGGGGCAGATCCTGAGGCCTTCTGAGCTGTGGAAAGGACTCCTGCTTCACTGGAGCCCCTGGCTGTCTTCAGCAGAGGAATGTTGTGACTTACACCCCTTCATGATGTAACTCATGACAGCACTTTCTGGCTGTGTGGTCCCTGCCGAGATATTTAGCGCCTCTGGGCCTCAGTTTGCTCCTCTGCAAAATGAGGGAAATGATAGTACTTCAACTAGTTGTTGCAAGGAATCAGTGATTTACTAACCATTGTCCCGAGCATAGAGCAAGCCCTCCATATGTGAGCACTGTTGTTGTTACAGAGATCAGAACAGGGTTCTCAGCTGGCTACAGTGGCCAGTCTCCATCTGTCCACCTGAGTTAAGATGCCTCTTTGTCATCTGCCCAGGCTGCCCATTTGCACAAAGACTGAAAAATTGAGTCAGGATGAGCCCTAAGCTTCCTATGTGGGTTCTGCTCCTGGGGCGCTGGCTGATCCCCTTTCTTGGACCCTGATCCTGTCCTGGTGTGCACAAGGCTATGTAGAAAGGGCCATGGCCATGACCAGGGAGTGGATAGAAGTGTCGTCCCCTTCGTTGTGTGGGCCTGCACACTGTCCTTTGGGAATGCACAGGGGGCAGCAGTGAGGCTCAGTCACATGTGTGATCAGAGTGGAGGTCAGCAACATAAGCCAAGCACCTTAAACGCTGATTCCATCCTGGGTTGTATAAGCAGAAGTATAGTGTCTAGGATGAGGGAGGTGTCAGTACTGCTCTGCTCTGCACTGGGCAGAGCTCACCTGGAGAGCTGTGCTCAGTTCTAATGCTCTTTTTTGTTTGTTTGTTTGTTTGAGATAGAGTGTCACTCTGTTGCCCAGACTGGAGTGCAGTGGCACAATCTTGGCTCACTGCAACCTCCACCTCCCAGGTTCAAGTGATTCTCCTGCCTCTGCCTCTGAAGTAGCTGGGATTACAGGCATGCACCACCACGCCCGGCTAATTTTTATATTTTTAGTAGAGATGGGGTTTCACCATCTTGGCCAGGCTGGTCTCAAACTCCTGACCTCAAGCGATCTGCCCGCCTCAGCCTCCCTGAGGCTCACACCTGTAAATCCCATTATAGGTGTGAGCCACTGCGCCTGGCCTGATGCTCTTCTTTAAGAAGAGAAGACAGAGCAGATGGGTTATTCTCAGAAGTGCAGGGGATGTTGACCCTGGTGAGGAGAGGGGAGGATCCACAGGGAGCAGGAGCTGCCTTCCGCAGTCTGGAGGGCTATCTCATGGAAGGGCTTAGACTTGTTCTGTAGGTCATGAGGGGTGGGGTTGTATAAACTGTAACTGGAAGCTCAGAGGGAAGAAATACTTTTACTTTTCACAAAAAAACCTTTTATTTTTATTTTTATTTTTAGCATTCTGAGCAAGATGTAAATATTTGCCTCCTGAACTAGGGATCTCCCTATCACTGGGGTCTTTATAAGGCAGGTAGCCACATGGCTGGGATTCAGGGAAAGGGACTCAAGCATCGAATGGGGGTGGGTTGGATGCCCTTTGAGGTCCTGGCCTGCCTGAGCGCCCCTGGCTGTGTGGGGGTTCTGCCTGCCCCTCCCTCCTCACCTCCTTCCTCCCCCTCCTCCTCCCTTCCAGCAACAGATTTCCCTGCTGTCCCTCCAACATAGAGCTTTCCCTGTGCGGCCCCTCCCTCTTTTCTTCAGGTATCTGCTTAAATGTCACTTCCTCAGAGAAGCCCTCTCTGGCAGCTCTATCTGGACACTCCCCTGACCCACCACGCTGTGTCCTCCCTGCTGGTTTTTTGTTTGTTTTTTGAGACAGGGTCTCACTCTGTTGCCCAGGCTGGAGTGCAGTGGTGTGATCTCTGCAACCTCCGCCTCAGCTCACTGCAACCTCTACCACCTGGGTTCAAGTGATTCTCCTACCTCAGCCTCCTGAGTAGCTGGGATTACAGGTGCCCACCACCACGCCCAGCTAATTTTGGGAGCCTCAGCCTCCCAAAGTGCTGGGATTACAGGTGTGAGCCACCACACCCAGCCCTCCCTGCTGTTTCTCATAGCACTCACCACTAACTGCATTGATACTATTTGGCTGTTTACTTATCATGTTAGGGGGGATGACACTTGTCATTATTTCATACAATCCCAGTGCTTCAGTTGCTTAACACGGCAGAAGCAGGTCTTGCCCAGAGGACATTTTGGTGAGGGCGTTTGGCAGGTGGCCTTTCACAAGGTGTTCAGGGGCCCAGGCTCCTGCTAATTTGTGGCTCTGCTATCCCCCAGGGTCTTGGAGCCCCCTGGCCTGAAGATGGGGGAAGAGAGAGGAATAGGAGACAGGAGGGGAGGGAGTGGAGTGGGGAAGGAGGGCAGGAGTCTGTGGGAGATTTTTATGGGCCAGATAAGGGAGTGGCTTATATTACTTTGCCCACATCCCATTGGCCAAGACCCAGTCATATGGCCATAGCCAACTGCCAGGGTGACTGGGAAATGTAGTCCTCCTGGTGTCTAGCAAGAAAATTAATTAACTTTTGGTGAACTCCTAGCAGTCTCAGCTACACTTATTTATCACATGTCATTGAATTTATGACATCATCTATTGCAAGGGACACCATGATTTCTGGAACCACTAATTAAATTAAACTAAGACATGCCATTGATTTCAGGTGAATTCTGATTGCCAAGATGGTAAAATGTGGAAAAATGGTACAGCTCGGAGTCAATGAACTATGGTATTGTCTCTCCTTGAGGACAGGGACCCATTCACCTTGCTCACCAACATATTCCCAGAGCTGCAAGAGTGTCAAGCATGCAGTAGATATTCAGAGAACAATAGTTGAGGCCAGGCACACTGGATCACACCTGTAATCCCAGCAATTTGGGAGGCTGAAGTGGGAGGATTTTCTAAGCCCAGGAGTTCAAGACCAGTCTGGGCAACATGGGGAGACCATGTCGCTACAAAAAAACAAACAAACAAAAAAATTGTTTAAAGACAATGGTAGTTGAATGAGTGACAGTGTGTGAGCTACTCTTTTGTTTAAGTGCGAGAAGCCCCCTTGAGTAAACTACAGTGTCAGGGAATCAGGCCATGCTCGTTCACCTGAACAGAGATGCTGCAGGGGCATGGGAGGAATTGCCAACAGTAACTGGGGCTTCTAGGACTCTCTGCCTCAACCGTTCCTTCTCTCTGCTGCCAGCTTCGATATTCTTCTCTCTCACTGCACATGGGAGGGAAGAATGACCTTGCTCAGCTCTTGAGCTGTCCATCTTACTGCCTCTGTCCCTGGAGAGGCAGCCCTGACACCAAAAATCTAATGGGAGAGACTCACTGGCCCAGCTTGGATCAGGAGCACACCCTGGGTCAATAAGCTGAGCCAGGAAGGCAGATATAGGATGTCTCTAAGAATATGGCAATTTCTGCAGGAGCTGTGTGTGTGTGTGTGTGTGTGTGTATGTGTGTGTACGTGTACATGCATGTGCACAGAAAGACAGGCAATGTATGTTGGGGTCAGACGTCCTTCACAGGAGAGAAGCTAGTGCTTGGCAGTCAGTTCTAGCAGTGCCTGAATATGGGACCCCTTTGCCTGAAAAGGGACTGTGTCAGTGAAAGTAACAGGCATGCAAATACATAATGAAATGGGTGGGTGGGAAGATGCATGGATGGATGAATGACAGAAGGAGAGAGGGAGCAAGACAGTCTTACTTGCTTTAGCATTAAACATTTTAAAGAATCTAAATGGAAGCTGTCTCCTCATTACCAAATAGGGATGCTAAAAACAACTCTTAATATTTATTAAGTACTTCCTGTATGCCAGGCATTGTTCTAAGCTCTTTTCTGCATTAACTCACTAATTCCCAAGACCATCTTGTGAGATGAATACTACGATGAATACTATAATTCACATCCCCATTTTACAGATGACAAAACTGAAGCATCTAGAGGTTAAATAACCCCATTCATAAGGGGCAGAGCTAGGATTCAAACCCAAACAGTCCAGCTCTAACCACAAAGCTCTCTGGCCCAGCGCCATGGCTACTATGAGGATTAAAGCCATCTGGAGGCTACTGAGTGTGTTCAATGACAGTAATTGGGTTATATATATGTTTGAGATGGAGTTTTGATCCTGTTGCCCAGGCTGGAGTGCAATGGCGCAATCTTGGCTCACCACAACCTCTGCCTCCTGGGTTCAAGTGATTCTCCTTCCTCAGCCTCTGGAGTAGCCAGGATTACAGGCATGCACCACCATGCCTGGCTAATTTTGTATTTTTCGTAGAGACGGGGTTTCTCCATGTTGGTCAGGCTGGTCTCGAACTCCCGACCTCAGGTGATCCGCCCACCTTGGCCTCCCAAAGCGCTGGGATTACAGGTGTGAGCCACTGCACCCAGCCATGAGGTAGGATATTTATGCCACATCACTGCTTGATATAGAGTGAAAATAAAAACAGATTTAAGAAAAGTTAAGCTAAATTTACAGATGTCAGAACTCCAATAGCTACTGAAAAGAAGGATACTAGAGGTGAGTTTGGGGGCATATTCTGAATTTTCGATGTCCTTCCCTCAAACACACCCCTTTGTGGTGGTCAGAGCCCAGAGCTGGCCAAGGCTAGGTGGACTAAAGTGAGAGCTACCAGGTACCATTGGGCCCTGCATAAGGACACTTGACTGAGAGGACCCAAGGGAGGGCTGAAGTTTCAAAAAGCCAGCAGTGGCCACTCTCCGTGAGCCTGAGCTCATGTGTGCTGGGCTTGGCCAGTGAACTGGGATCTCCCAGCTGTCCCAGGGCAGCCACTCTGCCTCCAATTGTCTCTTCCTGCCTTGGTAGAGCCTCTCTCTTCTCATTGTGATGCCTGCAGCCTGGAAAATCATGGATAAAAAGCCCTGATTGAAAGGCACTAATTACCCATTATTATTTTCCATGCCGTAATTTGTGCGGAATGAGATTTCAATCAGTTGTCGGGGATCAGCCTGGTTTTGACTAATCTTTCTAACGACAAGATGCTTAATTACAGATTTTTGCCTGAGCTCCAGAGCGTGCAGAGGGAGGCAACTCTCGCTGAAGCCACCATGCTCTTGGGTCATCCTGCAGCCCTGGGTCCCAGAGGGCCCCCAAGGGGAGAAAGAGAAAGAAATCATTAGGAAAATATTCCCAAGGAGGCCAAATAAAATGGCACCACCACAGAGACGGGGCTGTGTTAGCAACATGGACATAGAGGGTATTGGGGGGCTGCTTTCTAAGTCAACTCATCCTCCAGAACAGGTCACCACTTGCTGTGTCTCTATTGCCCCCATCAGCCCCAGCCTCCCCCAAAGCAGCCTGGCATTCTAGTTAGTAAGTTTGAGCAAGTCATTAGTTTCTTAGGGCTGTTTTATTATCTGAAAGTCACCAGGGTAGTCAGAAAAATCTCTGAGAACTTATGATTCAGTGACTCCAGCTGTGCTGAAGTGTGTGTCCAGAAAAGTGTTACCTATTGTTGAAAGCTGAAAGATACACATACCCAAGATTCAATCACACAGGAGTGATTAAAAAAAACACCATCTATTAATAAAATAGGCAGTTCAGGCCGGGCGCAGTGGCTCATGCCTGTAATCCCAGCACTTTGGGAGGCCAAGACGGGTGGATCACCTGAGGTTGGGAGTTCCAGACCAGCCTGACCAACATGGAGAAACCCCGTCTCTACTAAAAATACAAAATTAACTGGGTGTGGTGGCTCATGCCTGTAATCCCAGCTACTCAGGAGGCTGAGGCAAGAGAATCGCTTGAACCCGGGAGGTAGTGGTTGTGGTGAGCCGAGATAGTGCCATTGCACTCCAGCCTGGGCAACAAGAGTAAAACTCTGTCTCAAAAAAATAATAAAAATAAAAATAAAATAAAATAGGCAGTTCAGATTACTCAGAGGGAAGGTCAATTTGAATTGATGAAAAATCTGAGTTTAAGTTTTATGTGTGTGTGTGTGTGTGTGTGTAATTAATGGATCTCAGTGCACA